>NC_000004.12:150739562-151042593 GCF_000001405.40 Homo sapiens
GAAGGAGATGGGGCTTGCCTCGAAGCAAGAAAATATGGCAACAATGAAGGAATAACACTTCAATAATTACATTAAATAAGATGGTAACTTGCATCTTGCTAGCAGACTCTATTGACGCTCTCCCTTAATGGCTTAGCTAAAGAAAGCTGTCATGTTATGAGCTGCCCTGTGTAAAGGCCTCCATGGCAAGGAGCTGAGTAGAGCCCCAGACAACAGCCCGCAAAGAATTCAGACTCTCAGTCTAACGACTCAAAAGGAAGTGAATCCTGCCAACAATCACATGATCATGGAAGCAGATCCTTTCCTAGTCAAACATCAAATAAGACTGCAACTCTGGCCAGCACCTCAATTGCAGCCTTGTAAGTGAACCTGAAGGAGAGGCCCAGCTAAGCCATGCCTAGGATTCCTGACCAAGAAAAATTGAGATAACAAATGTATGTTTCTTTAAGGCTAAGTTGTGATAATATTGTTAACACAGCAGTCGCTAAGTAATATCATTTCATGTCTAAAAATTAAAGAATGCACCTCTGAAAAAAACGCACACATAAAAGAATACATCATAATGGAAATTAGGAAACGTTTGCAGTAAAACATAGTAAAAACAATGTGCCAAAATCTGTGGATTTAGATAAACCTTAAACCAATGCTTAGAGGGAAATTGATACACTGAATAAAAACACTAAAGAAGAAAAAAATTGTCAAAATAAATTATGCAAGTATTGAACTGAAGAAATCAGAAAAAGAACAGCCAGTGAACACTGAAAGTTAAATAAGGATAAGAACAGAAATTAAATAGAAAATAAAAAATACACTTTAGAAGATAAAGTTAACAGTTAGTTATTTGAAATACTGAAAAAATCCAAAAGAAAAATGTAAACAATTAAAAGTAATAATTGAATTTAGGAGGGTCACTGGATTTAAGGCAAATACACAAAAATCAACTAGATTATATGTATAGGTTACTAACAAAGTAAAAATGGTTTTTAAATACTATTTTGAAAAGCATTCAAAACCATCAAAATATGTAGGAAAAAGAAACAAAAATGTGCTAGAATTCTGCATGTCAAACAGAAAGAATGGTAAAAAAAAAAAAAAAAGTTAAAACTTAAAGAAAAAAGTATACCATGTTCATGAAAGGGAAAGGCTTGTATTAAAGATATCAATTCTCCACAAAGCTATTTATAGATACAGTCCAATCAAAATCCTAGCAGGTCTTTCTGCATAATCTGATGAGTTCAAATTTAATTCTAAAATCTATAGAAAATGTAAACAAACAAGAATACATGAGACATTCTTAAAGAGGGGAAGAGAGATGATAATAATGATAATGATATTAAAAGACTTATAAGTAAGATGGTCTTTTCCAAAAACTGGTCTTAGATCAATCAACTGATGCTCATATGGACAAATTAACCCTGACTTCTACCTCAAACCATACAAACAAACCAATTCCAAATGAATCCTAGACAAGACCTAAAGATTTCAGGAAGTTTAAAAAGTTTCTAGAAGATTACATAAGAGAGCATCTTCCTGACTGGGTCGATGTAAAGACTTACTGCACCAAACAAAAATACACAAAACATAAGAAAAATAGTGACAAAATGAACTACATCAAAATTTAAAGACTTGTGCTTATGAAAGCCACCACTAAGAGAATTAAAAGCCAAACTTCAGAGAGAGAGAATATACTTGGAAAAATTACAACCAACGAGGAACTGCTATCTTAAATATATTAAAAAGCCTCTTACAAATAAAAGAAAATGATCACAATTTTTAAAATGGGAAAAGTACACAAGCACTTCACAAAAGAAGATTTCCAAATGGTGAATAAGATTATGAAAAGTTGTTCAGGATTACTAGTCATCAAGGAAATAAAACTTAAAACCATAAGATATACTATACTCCACAGAATGGCTATATATGTTTAAAAGGCTGGCATCACCAAGTTATATCAAAGATGTGAAGTAACAGGGACTCTTATAATCACAAAATCGATTAATAAAAATGTTCATGGCAATTATTTACAATAGCCAAACACTAGCAACTACCCAAATGTCCATTAAAAATAAAACTAATTTTTAAAATGTTGGACTTTCATAAAGTAAAATGCTAAGTAGGAAAAAAAAGAATCAATATTATGCATAACAATATGAATTTCACTAACAATATGAATTTCACTAACAATATTGAGCAAAAGCACACAAAAAATATAAAATGTATGAATTGCCTTGTATAAAGATAAAAATTTTTAAAAACAAAACTATGGTATTAGAAGTTAAGAGATTAAGAAATGGTAACCTTCAGTGCTACCTCTCCATATGAGGACTCACACGGAACACTGATAATGGCCACGGAGTTCTAAATATTTTAATAAAATGTCTTAGATGTATAAACAAACGACCCATTCTGATTAGCGCTTTTATAACACCATTTACTTATAAACATATCAACAGAATGATTCACTTTATGTAATCTGGAACATTTTTGATATGTATAGGTCTTCTAAACTTCCTTCTTTAATAGGAGTTGAGAACATAGAGCGGGCAGGGATAGAATTATTATTATTATCATTATTATTATTATTATTATTTTTTTTTTTTAGGGACAGAGTCTCGCTCTGTCACCCAGGCTGGAGTGCAGTGGTGCAATTATGGCTCACAGAAACCTCAACCTCCCAAGCTCAAGTGATCTGCCTACCTCAGCCTGCTGAGTAGCTGGGACTATATACATGTGCCATCGTACCCTGTAAGTTATTTTGGTGGTGTTGTAGAGACAGGGTCTCACTATGTTGCCTATATTGGTCTCAAACTCCTGAGCTCAAGTGATCCTCCTGCCTTAGCTTCCCAAAGTGCTGAAATTATGGGCATGAACATACATGGCCTGCAAGGATTATTTTTTTAAATTTATATAACAAAAGTGGCTAAACTGCCACTAGAAAATGCCCACCTACAAAAGTTACACCTAGCAGTCATCAACAATGACATGAACTTACTCCCATTCCACAGGGCACTTGCCTCACTTTGTAGCAATGTTTTCATTTAAAATATAAATAAGGCCAGGTACAGTGGCTCATGCCTACAATCCCAGCACGTAGAAAAGAGACTCCTTGAGCCCCAGGAGTTTGAGACAAGCCTGGGTAAAATAAAGAGACTTCTTCTCTACAAAAAAACACCAAAAACAACAAAATTAGCTGAGCATGGTGGTACACATCTGTAGTCTCAGCTACTCAAAAGGCCAAGGCAGGAGAATCACCTAAGCCCAGGAGGTAGAGGCTACAGTGAACCATGATGGCATCACTGCACTGCAGCCAGGGCGACAAAGTAAGAACCTGTCTCAAAACAAAAAACAAAACAAAAACAAAAAAAGAGCAAACATAAACTTGGATCCAAAGCAATTGTCACAAAAATTGTTTTTATTTTTTTGGAGATAGAGTCTCACTCTGTTGCCCAGGCTAGAGTACAGTGACAGGATCTCAGCTCACTGCAACCTCCGCTCCCTGGGTACAAGTGATTATCATGTCTCAGCCTCCCAAGTAGCTGGAATTACAGGTACATGAGTCACCACCCCCGGCTAATTTTTGTATTTTTAGTAGAGGTGGGGTTTCACCATGTTGGCCAGGCTGGTCTTGAATTCCTGACCTAAAGTGATCCACTTGCTTTGGCCTTCCAGGGTGCTGGGATTACAGGCGTGAGCCACCGCGCCTGGCCAGCAGTCTTAATAATGCGCTATATGAACATGTTCCCACAATGCAGAAAAACATGTGGAAAATATTCCTCATGAATCAATTAATTTCACTACAACACTATTTATGAAAGTGAGAATCTTAAAGAATCAAAATATACAATCATATAAGTAGATTGTTCCAAATTGACAAAATAATGTCCACAATATACATTAAGAGGAAAAATAAACCTGAGGAATATTATGAACAATATGAGCTTGGGGAACATATAAAAGAAAATACACTTTCTTTTAATTGCCAATAATCTAGAACAGGGGTCAGCAAATTAAGGCCTGTGTGCCAAATCTAGCCTGCCAACATTTTTTGGTTAGTAAGTTCTATAAGAGCACAACTAGGCCCATTTGTTTAAGTGTTATCCATGGCTGTTTTCAACTCACCATACTACACTGAGTTGACCAGTTGTGAAAAAGACCATGTGTACTGCAAGGCCTAAAGAACTATCTGGCCTTTTACAGAAAAAGCATGCACATGTCTGGGCTAGTGAGTGAGGCTTAAGTCCTCCTCCTTACATGTCTCTGTTCTTTGAAGCTTTACAACAATCAATAATCAAAAGAAAGGAAAACAGAAAATCCTTAAAGAAAATAAAAAAGCTTTCTGCCATTCTATCACTTTGTTTCGATCTCTATTAGGCTCACATACACTATTTTAATTTGACTCCAGCTCTGTCAGACTCTCTCTTCTATCCCCAAACTGTCTTCCAGCTACTTTAGAAGTTAATGCAATTTCTTATCTATGATTTTGGGGTGACATCATCAGGGTATTTTTTTTCAAATGCTATTAAACAGTACTCATTTAGGCATTACAGACAAAAACCATCCCTAGTGTAATTTTAAAACCCACTAATGAATAACTTCCTCTGATTCTACGATAGAAAAAACAAGGGCTTTCAAGAGTACAGATGTGAAATACTGGTTTGGGTTCTTAATTTCCCTCTAGAGACCTAAAACCACATTGTGAATTTAACATCAATATATTGCCTTGTACTTTCAAACATTAATTGAATTGATTAGTCAATGGCACACTATCCTACTAGTCCCCAAACAAGTAACCTCAAAGTTATTCTAGTCTCTTCCCTCTTCTCTACCACCTTCCTTCAGGCCCCTAATCAATCAATAAGTCTTGTCAATATTTCCTTTGTAATATTCTCAGCTTTAATTTATGCTGTTTTATAGCCAATGTCCTAAAAATAAAGGTTTCATCATTTCATATACATTATAACTGAATAAATCTTCTGAGTGCTAATTCTGATCTTTTAACATTTTTGTGCCTCTGCCTTTTAAAAACACTGTCCAACATCTGTTCAACACCTATTACATTATAGACTAGGCTAAGCAGCAAAGATGACCTTTCATTATATTTTAGTTGGGGAAAAAGAGAATCCACTGGAGTCCTTTCCAGCTTGAAACTCATATTAACATAAGTGCTATGGTGGACACACCCTAATGTGACCTCCAGTGAGTCGTGGCTTTAAATGATCCCAACCCCTTGAGTTCAACCTGGGCAGAATCTGGCACTTCCTTCTAGCAAACAGAATATAGTAAAGATAATGGGATAATCATTCCTTAATTAGGGTACTTTACATGCCAACGGTGATGGGATAATCACTCTGGTACTTATGTAATAAAGTTCTGCCCTAGCATACTGCAGAGATTCTCCTGCCACCCCTGAAGAAGAAGTAAGTGGCTATGTGTGACCAGGCCATGAGACAGGGAAGTATGGACAGCCTGTAGGATCTGAGAGCATCCTCTCAGTGACAGTAAACAAGAAAATGGGAAACTCAGTACCACAACAGCATGGAACTGAATTCTGCCAAGAAATTTGTGACCCCAAGCTCCAGAAAGAAATGCAGTTTGACCAACACCTTTATTGTAGACTTGTAAAACCCTAAACAGAAGATCCAGCTAAGCTGAGTCTAGACTTCTGACCCACAGAAACTGTAGGATAGTAAACATAAGTTGCTTTGAGCTGCAAAATTTGTGGGAATTTGTTATAAAATAAGCAATACAAATAAAATTAGAACATAAGAATATGTTTGCTATCATATCTCTATAGAAGCAAAGATCACAATAATCTACTAAAGATGAAAAAAAGCTCCAATAGAAAATTAGAGCATGAAGATGAGCCTTAAAGGGCAAAAGCAACAAAAAGAGAAAGATACTTCAGATAACAGTATGAACAAAGTTATAAAGAGAAAAAAACCTTTGTTTTTTGTTTTTTGTTTTTGTTTTGGAGATGGAGTCTTACTCTGTCGCCCAGGCTGGAGTGCAGTGGCACGATCTCAGCTCACTGCAACCTCTGGCTCCCTGGTTCAAGCAATTCTCCTGCCTCAGCCTCCTGAGTAGCTGGGATTACAGGCACGCACCACCACGCCCAGCTAATTTTTGTATCTTTAGTAGAGACGGGATTTCACTATGTTGGCCAGGATGTTCTCGATCTCCTGATCTCATGATCTGCCCGCCTTGGCCTCCCAAAGTGCTGGGATTACAGGCGTCAGCCACTGCGCCCAGCCGAGAAAAAATCTTGTGTGTTCTATTTTCAAGAGAACCGAAACATCCCTTTCTATCACTTAGTTTTCAAGATGTCCATTTACTGACATATACACTTAGATAGGTAGGATATTTCTGTCTTGATGTTTCACTCATTTTTCTGGTTACATAGCATTTAAAAACCATGCAACACTTTAATAATGAAGCAACAAGTGAAAGCTCCCAGCCCCCTTCCCTGTTCACTTTTCAGAATACATCACCACCATGAGTAGTTTATGTTCCTGTCCTTACATTTATCTAAACTTATAGAAACATATACAGTATTTATGTGCATATATATGAAACACATACAGTATTTATGTGCATATATACATATATACAAATGTACATGTTCATGTGTTTTGTAAAAATATTTTTAAATACTTAAGAAGTCATACTATAATACTTGTATATTTTACTTAACCGTATACCATTATGTAATCAGAACAGCTTCAAGTGACTCATGTGGATGGAATGTACCGTAATTTATCAAAATAGTCCCTTATCCAGAGATCATTCATTCTTTCATTCTTTGCCCCATTAACATAACCATTATTTATCCAGTTACTGAAGCTAGAAATATCAGTCATATCTTCCTTCTTCATCATCCTACAGATCCAATAGACCAAGTACTGCCCATTCTACCTCTGCAATAACTTTAAAAGTTGTTTCTCTTACTTTTTTTTTTTTTTTTTTTGTGAGACAGAGTCTCGCTCCATCGCCCAGGCTGGAGTACAGTGGCATGATCTCGGTTCACTGCAATGTCCGTCTCCCTGGTTCAAGTGATTCTCCTGCCTCAGCCTCCAGAGTAGCTGGGACTACCAGAGCCCACCACCATGCCCGGCTAATTTTTTATATTTTTAGTACAGACAGGGTTTCACCGTGTTAGCCAGGATGGTCTTGATTTCCTGACCTTGTGATCCGCCCACCTCAGCCTCCCAAAGTGCTGGGATTATAGGTGTGAGCCACTACGCCCGGCCAAAAGTTGTTTTTCTTTGTAACCTTTTCCGGTGCCCTTCACTGGAAACTCACTGGAACTCAGGATCATGTCTTTGATTATGATAATAGCCTCCAATCCAACTTCTTTCCATGAGTCTTACTATTCTTGCCCATTCTTCACTGGGATCATCTTTCTAAAATGAAAATCTGATAATCACTGTATTGTTGACAAGGTATCAGCCGTCAGCCATCTTCCCATGATCTACAAAAGAGACTAAACACCTTTCCATGGCTTATAAATCAGTCTCATTGTTGTTAAACTTTTATACTCTAAGAACTCCAGGTCAGGAACTACTCTCTCAAACATTACACCCTGTTACTGTACACTCCTTTGCCTCTGTTGCTACTGTCCCAGGAATGACCTCACTTCATATTCTATCTAACCTACCTTCAAAGCTAAACCAAAGTAAAGGTTCACTACAGAACCTTTTCTGATCCCACACCTGCTTTCCCTCCACAGAAGTAATCCCCTACCAACGTGTATCAGTCTCTTCTTTAGTACTTATTACTTTGAAACTTTCTGTATAACACAATTTCAATTATGTATTTACAAATCTGTCTTCCATTTGACACTGCACCAACCATTTATAATTTATCTTTACACAACCAAAGCATAGAACAGTGCCTGGGGACCCAGCAGTGCTTATAAGGAAAAGAAACTTTGACTATCCACTTCTGCCAGTCACTTCTAAGCTGCTAACTGTAAGGAATACAAACATGCATAACACTGTCCACAAAGAGTTCACAATCTAATATGGAAAGTTATAGGACTATATACAAACAGCAAGATAACTGTGAAAAGGTTCTTAAGGTTCTTAAAACATTTTCTTCTCTTAACTTTTGCAATAATACATAGCACTTTCTTGGTTTTCCTCCTATCTAGCTGCTGCTTCTTCATTGCCCACTTTGCTACATCCTCCGCTGCACTACCTACAAATCTTGTAATGTCCAAGAGCTCAGCTGTGTGTTCTTTCCTCCCTCTAAATTATTTCATCCAGTTCTATGACTTTTAATCTCACCTACATAGTACTAATTCCTGTGTTTATATCTCTAACCCTATCCTTGGTCTCCTATATTTCAGACTCACAGGGCCAACTGTCCAACTAAAATCTTCACGTGGATACCCAATAAGGCATTTCAAATCTAACATTTCCAGAGCAGAACTCTTGATTCTACCTACTCACTGCCAATAATACCTCTTCCCCATCACTACCTCAGTTTGTCCCACCACAATAAATAGCGCCAAAGTCCACTCAAACTCAAGAAATAATCTTTGATTTTGTCATTTCCTCACCTCCAAATCCCATTCATGAAAGCAAGTTCTACTGCTTTAACTATTAAATACATCACATATATGTTTATTTCTCTCCATCATCATTGCTACCACATCATTCTAAGTCACCATTCCCTCTTTTCTAGAATACTTCAGTAATATCTTCACTGACTTATCTGCTTTCATTCTTGCCCTGTATACCAATCCTATCACAATTCATTCTTCTAAGAATGTAAGCCATGGTGTTGGGAAAGCTGGATATCAACATACAAAAGAATGAAATTGAGCCAGGCGCGGTAGCTCACGCCTGTAATCCCAACACTTTGGGAGGCCAAGGCAGGCAGATCACGAGGTCAGGAGTTCGAGACCAGCCTGGCCAACATGGTGAAACCCCGTCTCTACTAAAACTACAAAAACTAGCTGGGCATGGTGGTGGGCACCTGTAATCCCAGCTACTCAGGAGGCTGAGGCAGGAGAATCGCTTGAACCTGGGAGACAGAGGTTGCAGTGAGCTGAGATCACACCATTGCACTCCAGCCTGGGTGACAAAGCAAGATTCCATCTCACAGAAAAAAAAAAAAAAAGAATGAAATTGGATGCTTGTTGATATGGTTTGAATATCTGTATCCCCTCCAAAATTCTTGTAGAAACCTAATCTCCAATGCAATAGTATTAAGAGGTGAGGCCTTTCTGAGGTCATTAGGTCATGAGGGCTCCTTCCTAGTGAATGTAATTAAGGCCTTTAAAGAATAGTCTTCACACAATGTTTAGCCTCTTCTGCCCTTTCGGCTTCCACCAGGTGAAGACACAGTGCTCAAAGTGCCATCTTAGAAGCAAAGACCCAGCCCTCATCACACACTGAAACCTGCCAGTGTCTTAATCTTGGACTTCTAAGCCTCTAAAACTATGAGAAATAAATTGCTATTATTTATAAATTACCCAGTCTCAGGTATTTTTTATAGCAGCATACAGAGACTAAGGCACTTACCTTACATCATATATAAAATTACCTCAAAATGGATCAAAGACCTAAATGTAAGAGTTATAACTATAAAACTCCTAAAAGAAAACATAAGGAAAAGCTTCATGACCCTGAATTTGGCAATGATTTCTAGGACGTAATACCAAAAGCGCAGGCAATAACAGAAAAAAAAAATAGATAAACTGGACTACATCAAAACTTCTGGGCCAGGTAAACTGGCTCACACCTGTAATCCCAACACTTTGGGAGGCTAAAGCAGGAGGATCGCTTGAGCTCAGGAATTTAAGATCAGCCTGGGCAACATAGAGAGACTCCACGTCTATTTTTAAAAAGATAAAGGAAAAAACAACAACCTTCTGTGCATCAAAGGACAAACCCAACAGAGTGAAAAGACAACCCCAGTGACTCATGCCTATAATTCCTGCACTTTGGGAGGCCAAGGCAGAAGGGCTGCTTGAGCCCAGGAGCTCAAGACCAGCCTGGACAACATAGCAAGTCCCTATCTCTACCCAAAAAAAAAATAATAATAATAGCTGGGCATGGTGGCATGTGCCTGTGGTCCCAGCTACTCAGGAGGCTGAGGTGGGAGGATCACATTAGCTAGGAGTATGTAGCTGCAATAAGCCACTGCACTCCAGCCTGTATAACAGAGAGACGCTGCCTGTCTCAAAAACAAAACAAACAAATAAGCAGAAAAAAAAAACCCTGTAAGTTATATCATGCCACTCGTCTATTAAAAACTCTGCTCTTACTGAATATGGTTTAATCCAAATTTCTTAGCATAGCTTATAGGGCCTTATATGATCTGAATATTGAATACTTCTCTTGACATTCCCAAGCCTTACTCTTTCTTGCTGATTTTGTTCCAGCCACTCTGGCCTTCAATTTGTTTAAATAATACACAATACTATTCACTCCTTATGGCCTCTGCTCTTGCTGTTTCCTTGCCTTAAAATGTTGTGACATACATCTCAAAAGGGTTAGCTACTTCTCTTCATTCAAACTGTTTCCCCTTCACAAGATTTTTCTAAACACTCCACACTCCCTAAAAGCCAGTATGTTTACTCTCATAACATTATCCTGCTTTGTTTCCTTCTAAGCATTTATTACTTTCTAAATTGTCTTATTTTGATTACTTGTTTATTATTTGTTCTCTCCTTTATGACAGCACAGACTTATTCACAGCTATATCCTCAGATTCCAGAATAGTACCTGGCACATGGATTATAATCAATAAATGGATACTGAATGATAAAAAATGAGTGCCATAAACCACTCCCAATCTACTTTTTTGTCCTTTCCTTATATCCAAAACCTTAACTTCCTTATATCCGTTTCAATCCTCTTTCCCTCTAAGGAATATTCTGCAATTCTATCCTATAAAGACCTTTACTTTATGTCAATCTTTATTTTTAATATCATTTTTGTAGAGACAGGGGTCTTGCTATGTTGTCCAGGCTGGTCTCAGAAATCCTGGCCTCAAATTCCCAAGTAGCTAGGACTACAGGTGCATACTACCCAATTTTTTTTAAAGAGATAGGATCATGCTATGTTGCTCAGGCTGGTCTTGAACTCCTGGGCTCAAGCAATCCTCCCATCTTAGTCTCCCAAAGTGCTGGGATTACAGGAGTGAACTACAATGCCCAGGTTATTTTATGTCAATCTTATCCCTAATGATTACTGTAGGTACGGCATATATTATACTTGTTTATAGAATATCTTATAAACATTCTATTAGAATTATATGTGTATTACTCTATTCTCTCAGAAGATGTGCTTCCTTAACCAGAACTGATTAAGGAAGCAGGGAAGGAAAAAGGAAAAATCTTTAAAAAAAAAAAAAAAGGACTAAAAAAATCTTTTGCTTCTTTTTATTTTAATAAACATAACATCTAAGAGGTACTGTTCAGGTAGGCTATACCCCATCATTATTTGATGAGTGGACAGTTTGTAAAAATACTTCAAACCAAATATTCTCAAGCATCTAAATTTATCTAAGCAATTAACAGCAACACCATGGAGCTTTTAGACTTAACTGTATCATAAATTTAAGTTTGAAATATTTTTGCTGGATAATACAAAATGATTACCATCTAACCTTACTTATTTAAAAGAATATTATAAAAAGTGATTGGGATGTATGTAAAGTATTTAATAATACTTTCAGAGAAGAAGGGAAGCATATATATCTTTTCCTTCACAATTTACAAAATGTTTTAAAATCAAAGTTTCTGAGAAGGTCCTGAATACATACCTCTGATTTTTTTAAATATTCACACAATGTTATTTGTCCTTTCATTAATGAAAATATTAAAATGACTTCAAAAATTAAACTAATAAGATATCTAAATGATTTTTTTTTGCTATTCTAAGGGGTCAATTTTTCTTATCTATATGCCTATTTTCCTAAATATGCAAATTACACAATATTTAGCAACAGCAATTTTATCTAATAGCTGTGTAAACTATTCTTTCAAAAAAGAATTAAAGGTAAATTAAAGTTTTAATTATTATAAGCAGGCTCAAAATGTTGGGTTTACTGTAGATTAAATGTCTAAATGCAGAGCATAAAATGATTCACATATTTTAATATTAAGAAGAAAAAACTATGTATAATTTACACCTACAGTGCAAGAAGGAAGAAAAAATGCTTGTGTCAGCCTTAGGAAACAAACAGCCCTATCAAGTAACCAACTAGAAAAGATTCATACTGGAGGCTCAATAAATAACAGTAATGATGACAACCATCTCCCATAACTACATTACAGCCCATTGTCCACATCTGATTATACTAGTCTAGACCTTGGGTAAGCACATACACATTTTCACCAAGAGTTTTCCAATATTACTGCTCTGTTTCCTGGGCTTTCTGTGACCCCCATTAGCAGCAACTGTCATTTTCACTACTAAACATGACCACTGATGAGAAAGGAAAGTTACTACTTTTCTACACTCTAATAATTGAGAATGTGGAAATAATGTTCCTGAATTGGCAATCCTTCTAAATATAGTAATTTCTTTAGAATTAGCTACAGAGAAGAGGATAAATTGCTTCCAAAGATTTTCTTCCATAATATGAGAACTACTAAAGCCTCACTTTTCAAAATATCATCTCCATATATTAACATAGCCTTTATTCTTATAGTGAAGAATTATTGCCTAACTCTCCATGTATCTGCCTCCTTGCAACATCTATCTCTCTCTGTCTCTCACCCAGCACATCCAATAATTCAGTATCACAAAAATCCCTAAACTGTTATCTCTCTGCACCTTTCTCAGTTAAAGCTCTCAGTAACAACTTTGAATAAGGGATGTAAAGGTTCTAACATCACAGAATACACATGCCTGGAACCTCAGAAAGAATAGATTTTGTTGGTAACTGAAAAAATTAATTTAAATTAAAAAAAAATTTTTAATGGGCTTCATACACATTTAAGGCCAGTCTAGATCTTTCTCGGTTGAAATTTAGCCCAGGTAGTAGCCACTTTTTCTGGAAGGCAGTATCCTTGATCAGAGACCACAAGGTATCCATATGCTTTATTAGACTTTAAATGGAGATAGCAAATACTCCATAAAGTTATTTCATCCTGAGAATATAAAACCTTAGTAATTTAATATAAATGTTACATCCTCACATCAACCTGTTTTTCCAAACTTACTTTGCATGATAATCCCTAGTTGAACATTTTAAAACAACTCATGATATTACAGAGGCTAGAATGGAAGCAAAAAGACCAGGCTGCAAGCTTTTATCTGATTATTTTAGATAAAATAATTTCTTAGGACTATGAAATAATCTATTCTCTAGAATGTGCAAATAAAAAGAGACAGAAGATAGTTACATGTAGAAAAGCAAAAATATAGAGAAATGGCTCTCCTGACTCTCCACTTGGAATTCAGTTTATTTGGAATTCAGCAGATTTCTCTGCTGCACAGTATCTACCACCTTCTATCTTCTTATAACTGCCTTTGTCTCTTCATTGTCAGTGACATTTCCTTGGCGATTCATAGAAATTCATCTTTTCAGATTCCACTCTGACCACTCTTATTTAACACTGCAATGTCCTCTGTATCCGACTGTACCTATTCTCCTCCCCTCGTTTTAACTTTCTCATATCACTTATCTCCTGAACATACTATCAACTTTTTAATTTCTTTATTGTCTAACTTTACCAATTAAAATAAACCCTATTAGGCAGGCATTTCTATTCTGACCATTGCTAAATTCCCAGAGCCAAGAATATGGACCAGCACGTGGCCAGTATGGATTAATATTTGCTGAACAAAGTGAATGACGCTATTTTCATTTTATTTTTATTTTACTCTTCTCAAAGGTTATGAGAGTTCCGTTTTTCACCTATCCCTAATACACATCCCTTTTTTCTATAATCATTCTTATTTAATAAATGATCCTACGTACATAGATGCTGTTGTAGTTTTTTTAAAATGTGTAAGGCTATGAAACATCTATACAAACATAAGCATATTCTACAGGCACGCTATATCCAAGCCATCTTTCCTAAAAGTCACATACATTTGGTCTTGGTAAAAAAATGTCAAACAGCAAATCCTATTTAGCAAAACATTTAAAGCTCTGAAATCTAGTAGAATTTAGCATTTTTAGGGGGTGAAAAAGCACAATTCAAACGCAGCACCATTTTTTTACATAAATCAGAACAAAGCAAGCTTAAAAAGTAGCCACAGACCAGTGTGGTGGCTCACACCTGTAATCCCATTACTTTGGGAGTCCAAGGTGGGAGGATCACTTGAGCAGGAGTTCAAGACCAGTCTTGGCAACATGGCAAAACACCAACTCTACAAAATGTACAAAAATTAGTTGTGGTGTGGTGGCGAGCACCTGTAGTCCCAGGTACTTGGGAGGCTGAGATAAAAGGATCACCTGAGCCAGGGAGATCAAGGCTGCAGTGAGCCTTGATATTGCTACTGCACTCCAGCCTGGGCAACAAAGTTGAGACTCCATCCAAAAAAAAAAAAAAGTAACCATTGAAAAATCATTTAAATATAAAATCCCATATAAAGTGCACAAAACAAGCCTCCATATTCAAAACCTATTAAAGGAAGTATATTAATGATAAGCTGAGATCAAGCTATAAAATTAAAAATAAAAAATGACCTGACCATGTCAGTACTTTAAGCCAAAACATATGAATAAAATAAATAAGAAACATATGCTTATCCTAATTAAGGAGAGAAAATTCTAATCTTCTTTGATAAGCCATTAAACCTTCACAAAATGATAAACATTAATTTAAATAATCTAATCTTTAAGAGCATATAAGAGCATATACTTTATTCTAAATCACCCAGAGAAACTTCTATACTAATACAATCCAGGATTGAAGTAAACAGAGATAAAGACATGAGCCCAGGAGCTAAGCGGTTGCAGCCTGGGTGACAGAACAAGACCCTGTCTCACCAAAAAAAAAAAAAAAAAAAAAGAGAGAGAGAGAGATAAAGTCTCTGCTCAATTAATCCACTGTTGATCTCTGACTCTACCCTAAAAATAGCATCATTTCCAAACAACTGTTTACAAGATGTAATTAAGCAGAGCACAGTAACTCACGCCTGTAATCCTACCAACTTGGGGGACCAAGGTAGGAAGATCACTTGAGCCTGAGCGACAAGGCAAGAACTTATCTCTTAAAAGAAAAAAAAATTACAATAAAAAAATTTAATTGGAGTTTTTCTATAAAGTATCTTCCCACATATATAATTTTAAAACTGAAACCAGAAAAAGCACATGGCTCTTTAAGTAACACTCAAGGATTTCCAAGTGATAATCTCTACCTCAATTCAAATTTTATCTTCCACTGATACAGATAAGAATATATTCTAGCCACACTGTTTACTTACGTGCAATAAATACCTTTGTCTTTTTATCAAAGGATAACCCAGATCTAAAATACAAGTGCTAATGGCCAACAGGGTCCAAATGAAATATTTTCTGGCCTCTCTCCCTCTCTCCCTTTTCCCTCTCCACCTTTCCTTCTAGTCATTCTTCTTCTCATTCCACCAACATTATTAGTAATCGTGCTATTCAGAGAAGTGAAGAAAAAGGATGGAGCGGCTAAATGAATGCTCAGAAAGAAGACATGCAATCTAAGTAGATGAATTTTGAAGACAGACCAGTGTATTAATACTCGAAGCATTATGTCTTTTATGTGGGCTATTTATATATTTGTATACAAGTCTGAGTTACTGCTGTAATAAGCAGACACTGACTGGCTCTAGAGGATGATTAAGCAACGTGCCCAACAGTATGCAGGATAATCTGCCCTTTCTGTGCTTTCCAAGGATGGGAGAAAAAGAAGAGTCACAGCAGCACATCTAAAAGTAAAGTTGTAAGAGGCTATGAAAGCTCTTAAAATGTGTTTTTATTAAATTAAACACAAAACTATAATTATAGGTTGTTTTAATTATTTATATATTTAACAAATTACAAGATTCAAGATGAGAATTTAAATCTTAAAATTTTTACCAAATATTGTACCTTTAAACTAGGTTTCATAGTCTACTACTTCCCTGATTTTTACTATCAAACATTTAAAAAATTAGCCAATAAAACTATGCCGGTTTTTTTATTTAAAGTATAAATGAAATAGAAACAATGAGGAGAAACTAATAGAAACATTAATAAAACTAGGAACAAGAATGAAAGGAGGCCAGGCACAGTGGCTCATGCCTGTAATCCCAGCACTTTGGGAGGCTGAATGACTTAAGTCCAGGAGTTCAAGACTAGCCTGGGCAACATGGCAAAACCCCATCTCTACAAGAAAAAAAAAAAAATTAAAAATTAGCCAGGTGTGGTGTCCTCAACAGCAGTCCCAGATACTTAGGAGGCTGAGGTGAGAGGATCACTTGAGCCAGGGAGGTCGAGGCTGAAGTGAGATGAGATGGTGCCCCTGCACTCTAGCCTGGGCAACAGAGCAAGACCCTATCTCAAAAAAAAAAAAAAGACAGAAAACTCTGATAGAGGATTTGCACTTATTTTTCAAAATTCTAGAGGTTAAGAACAAAAAGAGTACCACCTAAACAAATAAAATATTCATCATTCTCTCTAAGACACACAAGTCATAAGACAGGAGACCACCAACAAATCATTACAAATTTCACAAAATAATGTCTCAGAACAGCTGACTTGATCACTGCTACCTAGAACAACATCAGGAGCTTAAAATGCTCTAAAAAATATTTGGAGGGATCACAAGCAAGCTGGCAAGAAGAAAGGAGGCAACCTAGCAGCCAGATCTATTTCTGCCAGCAAAATTAACATCAATACTGAGATACTAAATTTTTTTGCAAGTAATATCACCAAAACCTCTAAGAAAATAAGAATAAAAGGCAAAATAAGAACTTGAAGCCCTTTATTTATCCAAATAAGAAAAAACATTCAAGATTCATTGGCAAAGAATTGAGTTGAAAAATGTAAGCAACAGTGTTATGGAATGTAATTAAATATATCTTTCAATTCAATTCAATTTCAATTAAATACATTTGTAAAGTGAAGAAAAAAATAACTAAGATAAAGACAAATCGAATACACAAATAAATGAATTTAGGTCCAATATACATAACAATGTAACCTACACCACATCTAAATTTAGTATAACACTGAATCCTCAGATTTCATTCAACAGGGTCAAAGGGAGTAGTAATAACTGTACATTATTTTCTATTGATGTGGTGCTACAGCATCACAGAGACTCTAAAAGGTGGCTTTAATATTCTTTAAGTTCTTTAAAACTATTAGTTTAGAGAAAGTTGTGCCTTTCAAGAATAAGAAAACTCTTTTAGATCTTTCACTTGCACATTTAAAAAGTAAACAGAGGTGCTGATAATAATGATTCAAGATATCATAAAACACTCATAAACAAAATTAGTATTCAGGAATAACAATGTTCTTGCTCATAACTTGTGAAAATTTAATTATTTAACTGAAATCTTTTATTATAAGTATATGTATTTTTTTCTCTTTAAAGTCATCAAGGTTGTAACAATTACGTCAGTGATTATCAATTATTCTAGCTCTCTAAAATAAATTTGTTTAAAATGGAGTGTTGTTTACATGAAAAATACCAATAATTGAACTCAAAATTACCAAAACAATGTATTTAAAAATATCTTATTAAACAAATGTAAGTTAAAGAGACCATCAGCAAATCACTATAAATTTCACAGAGTAACATCTCATCGAGCAGCTGCCTTGATCATAGCTAGAACAACATCAGCAGTTTCTACCAAACAACAATTACTTATGTCTGAACTTAGTAATTGATTTGCTAATGACACTCTACAAGTCTGTTAGACCTTATGCTGTAGTCTGTCTATAAAGGTCTTCATGTTATTTACACAAATACGACATTAATCAAGGGCAAAATTTATAGCAGCTACTCTATAAATGAGGTCAAGGCAGGTCAGACTTACATAATAAGAAGAAAAAAAGGTTAGTCTTTGCAGTAAAAAGGAAAATCATTATTATTATTCTTCCTGCCCCTGGGATTAAGTCTAGTAGTCAAACACTCCAAACTATTTCACAAACACATCTACTCCTATGAAAACTCATTTAACCTCAAGGCACTAAATATTTATAAAAGGAAAGCCAAATCCACTGATTTAGAAAAATAAACCACTAAAATTTTCCTTTAAAATATATTCTACACTGTAAATAAAGAGAGAACGAAAATTTCCAATTTTACCTCCACTATTTCACTAATGAATCTTAGCTTCCACCACTGTTTATTTCAAACACGTAAAAGATAAAGGCTGAGTGTTCTCTATAGGCTAAGCACTGAAGTAAAGAAGACAGTTTCTAACTATGGGAAGCTAAAAAATCTCAACAGAATAAGAAAAGCAAAGGTAAAAAATCAGAGAAAGGGTACTATGAAAATGATAACAGATGATATAAAAATAAATTATTCAAACAACTGTTTCACCAAATTTTCAGAAATAGCAATAGCAGGAGTATTAGCATTTGTGCCAGTACCTCCAAGTCTCAGTTCCACAGAATAATACAGGTCCAGTAGACACCTGTATATGCAGTAAAGTGTGTTACAAGAGAGGAACTCTGAGCTTAGGGCACTTGAATCTTCTGTGACGGCCAGTAGGCCCGTTGGTCTTTGGCTTGGAGAAAGACATTATTATACTAGACAGTAAACGATCCTGCTTTGTTCTAAATGAAGACACTATTTCTATATTCCAAAGCTGTCTGCTATATAAAGATCTTTGAATGATAATGCAAAACAAAGGCATTTGGTATCTCTTCTTACAAGGCCAAAAATCTTAAGAGTGATGCCTGGCTTTCTCTCACAACCCACATCCAAGCCATTAGAATATCCTGTCAGGTCTTATCTTCAAAATAGGTTCATAATCCTACCACTTCTTACCTCCTCTACTGCTAGCAACCTTGTCCCAGTCACCATCATGTTTAACCAGAATTACTACAATAGCCCCCTAATTGATCTCTTTGTCTTTTTTTTTTTTTTTTTTTGAGAAAGGGTCTCATTCTACTGCCCAGGATGGAGTGAAGAGGTGTGAGCATAGCTCACTGCAGCCTCGACCTCCTGGGCTCAAGTGATCCTCCTGCCTCACCCTCCCATGTAGCTGGGACCACAGGTGCATGCCACCATACCCAACTAATTCTTTTTATTTTCTGTAGAGACAGGGTCTCACTATGTTGCCCAGGCTGGTCTCAGACTCTTGGGCTCAAGCGATCCTCCCACCTCGGCCTCTCAAAGTGCTGGAATTACAGACAGAAGCCACTGCTTCTGGCTATCTCTTCACTTCTATCCTTAAATTCCTACATGCATCAGCCATAGTCATTTTTTCCCCACGACAGGGTCTTGCTCTATCTCCCAGGCTACATTGTAGTAGCATGATCACAGCTCATTGCAGCCTCGTCCTCCTAGACTCAAGGGATCCTCCCACCTCACAGCTTTCCAAGTAGCTGGTACTATAGGCACCTGCCACTATACCAGGCTAATTGTTTGCATTTTTTGTAGACAGAGTTTCACCATGTTGCCCAGGCTGGTTTTGAACTCCTGGGCTCTAACAAGTCACCCACCTCAGCCTCCGAAAGTGCTGGGATTACAGGTGTGAGCCACTGTGCCCATCCCAGAGTGATCTTTTTAATCCATAAGGGAGACTGTCTTCCTCTTCTTCTCAAAATCATGCAATGGCTGTCATTTCCCACAGAATAAATTACAAAGCCTCTACACAAAATCTTGCCCTATGTTATCTCTCTGACCTTACTTCCTATTTCATTCTACTTTAATCACTCTTTTCTTGCTATATTGGCCTCATTCCTCAAATACACCACAGAAGCTCTCACTTGTACACTGGCTGTTCCCTAGGCCTGGAATGCTTTTCCATACATGCCCCTTTAACTGACTCCCTGTGTGCTTCAAGTGCTTGCTCCAATGTTACTTTCTCAATGAGTCCTAATCCTGCCACTCTATTTAAACTACAAACCATACCAACCTTTTTTACTTCCTTCAAAAATTTCATTCCCCTCATCTGCTCCATATTTTTTCTCACAGTACTAACCGTCATTCACATATTATATAACTTACTTTTTTTTTTATTGTTTATAATCTGTCAATGCCTATTTGAATGTACAATCCACGAAAAAAAGAATCTTTATCTATTTTGTTTATTGCTGTATCCTCCGTAGCAAGAATAATTCCTGGGACATAGTGTGTAATAAATAGATGAGGAACTGAAGCTCAAAAACTAAAAGCGCTTGTCAAGTATCAAAGCTGAAACCTGAACCCAGGGCTATCTTCAAAGCCAATGCTCTTAATCTTAAGTCTATGTTGCCTCATCTATTAAATGTAACAATAACATACATAAATAAGGGTAGTTACACTTAGTAAAGTCTACGATGTTCAAAATCACCTCATATAAATTTTTCTTTAAAAAAGCCCTGGAATTATACTTCAATAAACACTAAAAATTATAAAAAATCTGTTCATGGGTGTTTTGCATTAAGCAGAACATTTGTGTATTTAATCGACAGCTCCAGTCACCTCTTTTTCCATATATAAACTTCAATATCATCCAATACCTCAGTGTTGAAATCAGTCGAAAGCTATTTTTCAATAAATATACACTTTGAAATGTTTACTAAAAGAGTAAAGAATTAGTCATTATTTCATTAATTGCCCTATGAATTAGTAATCACTGATATAAATCTATATCAGTTTTTATTGATCACCTACTACTTGCCACACTCTACATGAAAATGTATCTCTATGTTTCATATAGATCACTGTAGTAACCTTGCTACTGTTCTTCATTTCAATCAGGTCTTCCCTCCTTCAACCTATCCTAAACAATTCCGCCAGTTATCTTTCCAAACCCGAAATATCACAATGACTCTTTTGTTTAAAATCTTCCAAGGCTTCCCACGATCTTGAGGGATCTAGATGCCCAATTCCAACAACACCTCTCCAACACACACACACACACACACACACGAATATCCTGTACACCTTCCCACATTACAATGCCTTCAGATATTCTGTTCCCTGTGTTTGAAATGTTTTTCACACAAATGTCCTCCAATTTTTCCATAACCTCCAATTTTCTAATGTTTACATGACAAATCGTACTGATCCTTGAAATGCACCTCAAGAATCATGGTTCCTGGTTAAGTTTTAAGCACCCTGTACTTACATATTTCTATCACAGAATTTAGCATGAAGTATTATAATTGCAGGTTACTAGTCTGTGAGCACCTGTAATTATTTCTGAAGGAAAGGATTTTAGTAGTATTTAAAATCAAATAAAGTTACGAATACTCTTTTCGCCCTTTTCCATAACATTTATGAGAGATAGAGAGCAAACCTTGATTCCTAGATGCAAGTTCAAATAGTTACCAAAGGACTGATAGGGTCAATCTTCCAACAACATTACCTAAAACACTAATCGAACATTGCTGAAACAGTAAGTTTGTTCAGAATACTATCTCGAAGGGGAGTCAGTCACATCTTTTAATCTATACTCTGGGTCTTCAGTTCCATTAATGCAAAATCAGCTACTACAAATCAGACAAAAAGTGGTCCACTAATCATTTCCTCAATTTCTTTTTACCTTTTAATGATTTCACTCTTTTACATTTGTTTTCTCCCTTTTATCTCTCTTTTCATCTCTGTACTTTCTTCCCTTCTCTTACCCACCACTGAATTTTCTTTCCTTGAATTCTTCTGTTTCTGTTCTTTAAGTAGAAAATATACCTCCTTATTTCCTCTATCACCTTTCTCACCACATCACATTGCGAAACTTGTCCCCCCTCCCATTATGATCAGCGTGTGATATAAGAAAGATAATATAGACATCTAATTCTAATTATTGGCTCTACACACATAAAATAACTTGATAGAAAGTCCAAATAAGTATGGCTTTTCCTTATACCTGCAAATAGAATTAACAGTTTACTTTTCCCAAACTCAGCCACACTTTTTGAAAAATAAAAATCAGAAATGTATCAGTAAGCTTGCATCTAAAGAAAATTATAAAATGGTTAAATATTAACATATACATAATAATTGATATATCAGAGCTCCATTACATTACTGACTGAACAAACAGTAAATACAGAACCCAAAAATATCAATGCCTATAGGAAAAACCCAAGATTTTAAAGAAAAATACAAAATGAATTAAAATAAAATAAATTACCTTCCTTCATTGACAAGTTCGATAAAAGCAAGGCCTGCATTCTTCTGAATAGAATTTTGCCACTCCTATAAAAAAAAAAGCAAAAATAGCTGAAGAAATGTCACTCAGTAGGTTCTTTCTTTTAAAACAATAATAATGAAAAATATCACCCATATCAATTTCATGCCTAACTCTTAAAAGTTATGTTAAACCATATGAACAGGTAATACTGAAAAGTATACTGACACTAAACAAGTTAGCAACAATTTGATTCTGTGTAAATTAAATGAGCCTATCTATATTTATCTTGCCCTTTTCATTACATAACACGATATACTAATTTATCTGAAATAGTTGGGAGCTGGGAAAGAAGGTAACAAAGAAAACCAAGGACAAATAGACATTTTGGTTTTGGCTTTGTTTTTCCATTTATTTTAAGATGTATTACCCAAAATGAAGAGAAGAAAGAATTAAATAGTTCAATAACCCTAATAAAAACAGCATAGTTCACCATAAAAATTGATGACTAGCAACTGAAAATGAAATTAGAAAAATCAGTGAATTGAGCTAAACCAGTTTTGAGTTAGAAACTATAATTCACTGCCCTATGAATTAGTAATATCTGGTATAAATCTACTAACTATATTCTTGATCCATTTGAAATTTACCCATTAAACTTTATCCACTAAAAAGCAATCCATTAAAAAGCCTAGGAATGAAATCAATCAATAGAGTATGTACAAATGAATATTTTAATCCTTAAAACAAAAAATATATATAATAAGCATTAATACAATAAGGAAAGGCCTACATGAACTGAAATATACCTAGATTTGAAAAATGCTCGTGAATGCCACTTGTGTGTATGTGCGTGTGTGTGTGTGCCTATATAAACACACACACAAAGATTTGCTTTTAAAGAACTGGAAATACATACATAATCTTCATATTTCTTAATATTTAAGGAGCTCTTTGTATTCTAACTACATAATATCCCTCAACTGATCTTTTTTTGTTCTTTCATAAAACCCAAATCAAAAGGCCATGTCTGGCTACTTACCACTGCTCACTATAAACCATATTCATATTTTCTGAGTGTAATAACTCTAAGACTTTCAAATTCCATGCAATTTCACCCTAATAGCTATTCCGTTCCACTCCAAATTCTTTTCTTTTTCATTCTCATCCTTTCTCTTCTACCTTCTCTTTTCCATGTCCACTTTCATACTTACCTTCTTTTGTGTTTTTGAAAAACCCAAGGTGGTTCTTAAGACTAAAACAATCACATGACATGATTTTGTCAAAGGATTATATTTTATGAATAGTATTAGTATAACTATGCTAACAGAACAAATACAGTAGAATAAAAATTAAATAGAAAATCAGTAAAACGTTGGAGGGTAGTCACTGGCTAGAACTAGCAGAGAAGAAAAAGTAACGTATTCTCAAGGAATGAGCAAGAAACAAATTCATAAAATCCATGTTCTCATTCTGATACTAACAGAATATATCCTTAGGCATATCGTGCTACATCTGCAGGTCTTAGATATTATCTTCTAAAAGTGTATTCTAGGTATAATTTTTATTATTCTAAAATTTACTAACATTTAGAAATTCATGACTTGTAATTGTACAATATATACTCTCTAAAATTCATACTGAATTCATATTTTACCAAAACTGTAAAACAGGGATACTAAATTTTTTCCAGCGAGGTAAAACAAACCAATATAAAACAGAAATATGAATCTAATTTAAAAGCATTTTCTTTCCATCAAAATAAAATGAAGACAAGTAGTCCAAAAGGAAGCAATCAAATTCCACAAGACTATATTCTTGAGAGAAGGGCATGTGCCACGAAAAGGTAGGAGAATGATGACAAAAAGCAGAAACCTCAAATTTTTTTTTTATTTTGGTACAGAGGGTCCCACACCTAACTTCCCAAGCACAGCACAGAGAGATAAGACTCAAAGACTTACCCTAAATCTAGTAATGCACAAGAACAGTAGAACAGGAACAAATTTAAAGACAGATGGACCTCAGCTAGGAAGATTCAAAAAATTATCATGGAAGGAGGCAGAAGCAGCTTAGGATTTAAGAAGATGAAGAGAACATAACCATGACCTCTGTGGATAGGCAGCAAGTGATCAGCAAGAAGTACGATACTTCAAGAGATGCCACAGCCAAACAACACAAGCATATGTTCATTCCTCAGCTCTTATACCTAACATAACATTCTTGGAAACCCAACTAGAAATTTGACATAATACAAGAATAGGAAGGAAAGTGAGACCTCAAGTTGAGTGAGTTTTCACTTAGATCATTTAACTTACAGAAAACTTCAAAATAGAAACTTAGTTAAAGAAGAAAATGAAGAAAATTACCTTTCTTGCTAGAAAAAAAGAAGTCAGTAATTACAGAAGAACTAAAATTCTGTATATAAATCTTTAGATTAGTCATTTTACTTTTAAAAGTATCCACTGTCAGGAAAACGTCAAGAATGTCCCCTCTCACCACTATCTTTCAACATCATTCTGGAAGTCCTGGCTAATGCAGTAAGACAAGAAAAGGATAAAAATTGAAAAAGAAGAAATAAAACTGTCTTTGTTGATGACATAATCATCTATATAGAAAATCTTAAATAATCTACAAAAAATCCTGGAATAAGCAATAAATAGCAAGGTTACAGGATACAAGGTTAATATACAAAAGTCAACCACTTTCCTATGTATCAGTAATAACAAGTCACACACTGGGATAAAATCATTTGTAAAAGACATCTGATAAAGAATTGTGCAAAATATACAAATAACTCTTAAAAGTCAACAAAAACAAACAATCACATTAAACAATGGGCCAAAGACTTTGACACCTCACCAAAGAAGATATACAAATGGCAAATAAGCATATGAAAGATTGTCCACATGTCACTGGGGAAAGGCAAATTAAGACTAGATACCATTAGACACCTATAAGAATGGCCAAAATCCAGTACACTGACATCACCTAATGCAAGGATGTGGTACAAGAATAAATGAAATCTCAGTCATTGCTGGTGGGAATGCAAAATGATACAGTCTCACTGGAAGACAGTTTGATGGTTCCTAACAAAACTAAGCCTACTCTTACCACAAGATCCAGCAATTTCACTTTTTAGTGTTTAACCAAGGGAGTTGAAAACTTATGACCACTTAGAAATTTGCACATGGAGATTTATAGCAGCTTTATTCATAAATGCCAAAACTTAGAAGCAAACAAAATGTCCTTCAGAAGGCGAATGGATAAATTGTGGTACAACCAGACAATGGAATATTATTCAGCGCTAAAAAAAAAAAAGAGCTATCAAGCCATGAAAGGACATGGAGAAAATGTAAAAGTATATTACTAAGAGAAAGAAACTAATATGAAAGGTTACATACTGTATGATTTCTACTATATGACATTTTGGAAAAGGCAAAACTATGGAGAAATGTAAAAAGATCCGTGTTTATAGGGGTTAGTGGGAATGGAGGGGAGCACAAAGGATTTTTAGGTCAATAAAACTACTCTGCATGAAACTATAATGATGAAGACACACCACTACACATTTGTCTAAACTCACAGAATGCACAACACCAGAGTGAACCCTAATGTAAACTATGGACTTTGGGTGATAATGATATGTCAAAGGAGGTTCATGCATTATAACACACATGCCAGTCTCGTGAAGAATGCTGACAAGAGAGAAGGCTATGAGTGTGTAGGGGAAAGGGAAATGTGGGAAATCTCTACCTTTTGATGAATTTTGCTGTGAATGTAAAACTGCTCTAAAAAGTAATGTCTTTTAAAAATTAGTAATAAAAAAGTATTTACTAGTACTATTTTTCTCAAATCCATTTGTTCTGATCCAAAACTGCAATGGGAAAGGATTTTTATTACATAATTCAGACAAAATGCAAAACTCCACATGGATGAAATAGATAACAGCAGAAAGACCCATATATTAAGTAGGCAGGTAAAGGGTAAACATCATTTAGATTTTATTTTCATTATATACAGAAACTTTTAATTACATTGTCAAATCAGAAATTGTGCCATTTAGATTTCACAAAGATTTTAAGTAGCATTATTGGGGTTAGACTGAAAACCAGTTAAAGTTAGTATAACTATCAAAACTTAACCACACTAAAAATTTGTAATCTAAACTTATCTTGGTATGTCACAGGAAATATTTCTTTTCAATTAAAAACAAATTAGACATGAAGGTACATATATAATTGAAGAAGTTCAGTGTTTTATGGAGGCTCAGAAACTCAAATTTATTACTAGTAATACATTATGCTTCTGGTTTTCTCGAGGATCATCTATAAACCCATATTTGTTAACCTTCAGTAATTATTACATAATAACCTGAAATAAAATGTTCTCATTAATTTTTTCAAATTGGCTAAAATTAGGAATAAAATGAAAATACAAACCTTATACTTTTGGTTATTGTTAAAAATTATCACAAATCTCAGGAATATCCTTATGTTTTCATTTCTCTATAATACAGTCCTAATTACTAATTATTACCATTTAATAAAATACCAAATGCCAGATATACAAATGCATACTAAAAAGAATAGCCTATATAAAAAGAATCTGAAGCCCATGAGAATATTTTTTCAATTTGTTTATAATCCAGGTGTTAGTCAAAGCCAACAAGTTTTCTCCATACTAAAACATTCTCTACAGTAATTCACAGAAGTTGCCAAAACTAAAAAGAATATTCCTGAACTATGCTATCCTAAACCATTTTTCTCCACTTCAGAAACAATTATCAAGGAAGGTGTTAGTCTAAACAATTTCATAAACCACAGCTCAATATAACCCTTAGTGAGTTTTAATAGTTAAAAGAAAAGCTTAATGGTCATCGTCTTTCATGATCGTTTCAATATTTCATCACAGTATTTACAATTATACAGTGATGCAAAATGCATAGTACATTTAAAGGTCTTGGTTATCCTTCTCCCAGAGGTACTGATGAAAAACATGTTAAAAGCCTCAAATCCAACCACTAATGCAACTAAGTAATTTCAAAACACATTTCAGCACTTTGGAGAGGAAGAACTCAAAACAAAACAAGAGAGTCAATAATTTCATACCTGTTCCTAAGCTGTATTTAATTGACTATCACTTCCTAAGGCCATAATTGTTGACTAGTCAATTTTTACTAAAATATACTCTTAGCTTACTGATGCTTTTAAGTCACACAACAAAAACAGTGAAGATAATACATATTAGTGAAATCTACTACATAGATCTCCACCAAATTTCAAGACTGTATTCTTGGTGGTAAAAGTTAGTTAGGGCAACAAAAGACTTCATTAACCTAACATTATCTATTCCTGCCTATCCTCAACAAATAAATATAAAGAAAAAGATACCAATTAACACACTATGCATTCAAATTATTGTAATAAAATTCTAATTTCTTTAGACATGAACTTGACAGTTTTCTATAAATAATCTCCTAGAACGTATTTTAGTGACGAATACACTAAATAAATTTATCTCAATTTTAAAAGTAATTCCCAAATATTAGCATGTTCTAAAGCAGAAAAAATCAGGCCACAGATTAAAAAGATTACATATAATCTACTCTGCTATCATTTTATTTTGTCAAGCCATGAATACTGATTAACATTAAATATAGTAGCATTTGATTCTGGTGGGCAGATCTTTAACATAACTTTTAGTATTAAAAAATTTTTTTTCTGTAATCCCAGAACTTTGGGGGGCCAAGGCAGGCAGATCACGAGGTCAGGAGATCGAGACCATCCTGGCCAACACGGTGAAATCCCATCTCTACTAAAAATACAAAAATTAGCCGGGCATGGTGGCGGGTGCCTGTAGTCCCGGCTTCTCAGGAGGCTGAGGCAGGAGAATGGCGTGAACCCGGGAGGCAGAGCTTGCAGTGAGCCAAGATTGCACCACTGCACTCCAGCCTGGGCAACAGAGCGAGACTTGTTGCAAAAAAAAAAAAAAAAAAAAAATTTGGCCAGGCGCGGTGGCTCACACGTGTAATTCCAGCACTTTGGGAGGCCGAGGTGGGCAGACCAGGAGGTCAGGAGATCAAGACCAACCTGGCCAACATGGTGAAACCCCATCTCTACTTTAAAAATACAAAAATTAGTCAGGCGTGGTGGTGCACGCCTGTAATCACAGCTACTCAAGAGGCTGAGGCAGAAGAATCACTTAAACCTGGGAGGCAGAGGTTGCAGTGAGCCAAGATCACGCCACTGCACTCCAGCCTGGGCAACAGAATGAGACTCTGTCTCAAAAAAAAAAAAAAAAAAAAGTTTTTTTTTTCAAGAGAGGTAGATAATGAGTGACTTCAGGTTAAACATAGTAAATCTGAGAATAAAGAGGGGGCAACAGTACATGAGATACATTAAGAAATTTATTTTACAACCTGGAAACACATGAGTTAGTAGTAATAAATGCACTTAGAGGACCAAAGAAAACAAAACTCTACACAACAAAGTAGAGGAATCAACATGAGGAAGGAAATCAATGCTTGTCACAAAAACTCCAGAAAAGCTAGGAATTGAAGGCACTGAGTACATACGAAGGTGGCTGAGGGAAAGAGATGCAAGTTGGCATAAAAAGAAAGTTAGAATCCCACATCTTCTCCCTATGCTGTGTAGCCATCCTACCATGGTAAACATTGGAAGTTTATTTTCCAGAAAAGTTATAATTAAGGAAATTATTAAAAAGCTATAATGAAAAAGGCAAGATAAATTGAAAGTATACAAACTGGACTATGACATTGTGAGTGATATTTGAAAACTTTTCTGAGAAAATTGAGAAGCTAGGATAAAAGGTAATCCTCTACAAATAACAAAGGGAACTCATGCATCACCAGTGGACAACTCATACCCAGACATATAGATTTTCTCTGTGTTATGCTTAGGAATGAGCAAATTGCCAAAGTTAACCAGACATTTGAGGAAACCCTCTTCTGTGATGACAGACACCAAAGCAAACAGGCAGAGGAGAAAAACGACTCATAGAAAACAGACAATATTGTTAAGAGGGTGAGGAAAAGAAGATTAAAGAAAAGTATAATTAAATATCATAGGAAAATTTTTTTAAATTTCATCTAAAATATCAAGATAGGGATTTTATCAAGTGCTGTCTCCTTTTTTTTTTTTTTTTTTTTTTTTTTTTGAGACACAGTCTCACTCTGTCACCCAGGCTGGAGAGCAGTGGCGCAATCTCGGCTCACTGCAACCTCCGCCTCTGGGTTCAAGCAACTCTCCTGCGTCAGCTTTCCGAGTAGCTAGGACTACAGGTGTGCATCACCACACTCAGCTAATTTTTTATTATTATTATTTTTAGTAGAGATGGGTTTTCACCATGTTGGCTAGGCTGGTCTCGAACTCCTGACCTCAAGTAATCCACCCGCCTCGGCTTCCCAAAGTGCTGGGATTACAGGAGTGAGCCACCATGCCCGGCCTATCAACTGCTATTTCTATGCCCCGGTATTAATCAGGATTCTTCAGAGACACAGAACGAATGGGAAGAGAGAGAGACAGAGAGAGACACAGACAGAGAGACACAGAGACAGAGAGAGAAAGAGAGAAGAGATTATAAGGAACTGACTCACACAATTACATTGGCTAACAAGTGCCAATATCTACAGGATGAGTCAGCAAGACCAATGGCACAGTCTGAAGGTCAGCAGCCTCTAGACCCAGGAAGAGACAAATTTGAATCCAAAAGTGAGAAAAAACTAAAGTCATAATTAGAAGGCAGTTAGGCAGAAGAAATTCTCTCTACTGGGGGAAGAGTCAGCCTTTTGGTTTTATTCAGGCATTCAGCTGATTGGATAATGCCCAACACTAACAGGGAGGGCAATCTTTTTTACTCAGTCTACCAATTTAAACTTAAATTTCATCCAGAAAAGACTCTCACAGATACAGCTAGAATAACATTTGACCAAATATCTAAACAGCCTGTGACCCAAATGACACACAAATTAACCATCACAAGTCCACCCCTTGTCAGCTTGGCACTCATATACATCTCCTCAAACCACATTTCATTACCAAATGAAGATTAATAACAAGGTTATAATTCTACCTAACATGATACAACTATTCTGTATACAACCAAAACCATTCTAAACCTGTGACAGTCAATTTTATGTGTCAACTTGACAGGACTAACAAATGCCCAGGGAGCTGATAAAACATGATTTCTGGTTGTGTCTGTGAGGTTGTTCCACAACAGATCAGCATTTGAAGTGGTAAAGAAGATCTACCTTCACCGGTGTGAGTCAGCATCAATCACCCGATTTGTTGAGGGCCCGAATAAAATGAAAAGGCAGAGGAAGTGGGAGTTCATCTGTTTCTGTTGGGAAAGACATCCTCTTCACTTGCCCTCACATTAGCACTCCAGGGTCTCAGGACTTCAGACTCAGACTGGGACTTACACCATTGGTTTTCCCGGGCCTTTAAGTTTTAGACAGCAGATCATGGGACCTCTCAGCCTCCATAATTGCATGAGCCAATCCCTCATAATAAATTTCTTTGTCTGTATCTATATATATCCTATTGGTTCTATTTCTCTGGAGAACCCTAATATAAACCCATTCCCCACCTTAGCTGATATGTATACTTTCCTAATATCCCACAATTTACATATTTACATACTAGGATGTACAGTTAACAATATGATCTACAGTTAACAATACTTAAATACTATGGTGTTGATATTATAAACTCAATACATCTTAAGTTGCATGGTGAGGGATTAAAAGAGGAAAGAAAACAAAGATTTTATATATATATATATATACACACACACACACACACACACAAACACATATACACACACAAAATAAGAAAGAAATGTAACAATTACATTTCTTGTTCTGTAAATGGTCATGTGATCACAGTTGGTATCTACAACTACCTTTTTTCACTGCCTATTCTGTATTCCCTTTGTCTTCAGCAAGCACCTCAGCTGGTCCTGGTACTGTACCTAATAGGGTGACCCAAAGCTTCATTCCTGAAGGGTCTGGGCTGCTTTAGTAGTCCTACCTGGATTGTATTACCAGTGCTCCTCAACTTAATCACACAGTATGGTAATACTAAGATATGCACTGAGGAATCTCTTGTATTCTAGACATACTCTTCCTTACTTTTATTGTGGTATAGTTCAATTTCCCCACAGTAGTCAGGATCAATCACTACTCTTAGCATGATAACTCCATTTTTGCCTGAGGATTCAGAGGCAGGAGGAGCCCAAAGTGGCTGGGAAGCAATCTTAACTTCCGGTTCAATGGAATCATTGTTGTGCCTCCTGGTGGAAGCATTTCTCCCTTTGGAAGTAAGACCTCTAGGCCAGCAGACTGTAAGATCACAGGAACAGGAAGCAAAACTTTTGCTATTGGGTCACTAGAGGTAATAACAAGTGGTAACACTCCCATTTCTACCTGTTGATTCCTGGACCAATGAATCCTACCTGTGGGGAGAAACAGCACCATATACTGGATGCTGATTCAGTACACATATATCCTTCTGGAAAACCTTGTCCCAGCCATATAAGGTATTGCCACCTACATTCAGTTCTATCAAGCCAGCTGCTTGAGGATGGTGGGGAACATAGCAAGGCCAGTGAATTCCATGAGCATTCATTTGCTGTGAAATAGATTTCTTAATCAGAAGCAATGCTAAGCAATACAATGAAGGTTGATAAAGCATTCTGTGAATCCACAGATGGTAGTCTGGGCAGAAGTACGGCATGCAGGGAAGATAAATTTGTATCCAGAGTGAGTGTCTACTCTGATAAGAACAAAATGCTGCCCCTTCTATGATGGAAGGGGTCAAATGCAATCAACTTGCTACCAGGTAACAGGTTGATCATCCTAGGGAACAGTGCCTTATCAGGGACTTACTGTTGGTCTCCACTGCCAGCAGATTTGACACTCAGCAGTGGCCACAGCCAGGTTGGCTTGCTGAGTGGAAGTTCAGGTTGCTGAGTCCTTGGATAACCTCCATCCCTGCCACCATGGCCACCTTGTTCATGAGCTCACTGGGCACTGGTGGGCGGCTGGGGAAAGAGGCTGACTAGTATCCACAGAACAGGTGTTCCCAGCCACTTTAGTATTAAAATTATCCTCTGTTGAAGTCACCCTTCAGTGAGCATTCACATAGGACACAAATACACAGTATTCAGATTTTTTCTCCCATTCATAGACATCTATACACATACCTCTTCCCCTAAACTTTTTTTGTCAACAATTTTCTACTCATGTCCCTTCCAAGTCTCTGACCATCCAGACAAACCAATAGCCACAGCCCATGAATTAATAATCACATTTATCCTTCCAAAAAAAGTAAACAATCAGGTACACTCCTCAAAGTTCTGTCCACTGAGAAGATTATTCTTCACTACAGTCCATCAGGGATGTCCCAAAAAAGGGCTGTAGTGCTCCAACTGTTCACTTTCAGGTGGTGCCTGCATATTGTCAGAACAATCTATACACCAGGCCCAAGTCTTCTCCTCTGGCAACTGATCACAGGACTCACCAAGAGACCATAGGTACGGGCTGGCAAAGAGAAGGTAGTGTAGCAGAACTGAGGACCATAGGATATTTGGGCCACTTCATGCAACTTACTTGTGTTTTCAAGCATTGCTTGGGCCTGATCACATGTACATCACTTCGATTTGATGACAGAGTGCTTCTGTGCATGTACAACTTGATGGCTTAGTAGGACAGATAACATTCAGTTCATAATAAGCAGCTCAGTCACTTGTTAATTTGGTGGCCCAGTGTTAACTGTTCAGTCTCTACTTAAACCTAGTGACAGGCCAAGAGTTGTTTCTCAAAAGGAGAATATTTGTCTGGGAAGGATGTCAGGGCCTTGCTCCAAAATCCTATGGGTTTGCATTGCAATTTACCTAAAGGGGCCCGTCAAAGGCTCCAAATAGCATCCCCATCTGCCACTGACACTTGAAGCACCATTAGATCTCCTGGAGCCTATGGCTTGCACAGCAGCCTGAACCTGTTACAGAGCCTTCTCTTGTTCTGAGTTCTACTCAGAACTATCAGCTTTTCAGGTAACTCAGAAAATGGGACAGAGTAACATATCCAAATGAGGAATACGTTGCCTCTAAAATCCATAGAGTCTACAGCCATACCACCCTGAAAATGCCCAATCTCATCTAAAAGCCATAAACGGTCACTAGCATGTACCTTTTTGGTTATAGGAGGGGCCAGATACAACTTATTCTTCACCTAAGAAGGGGTATCTCGACATGTCCCACAACACTGGAGCCCTAGAAATTTCACTGAGGTGGATTTACCTTCCAACTTCTGACATGCAAATGCCTTACCAAAAAGTCTGGTAGTTACAACTTCTTGCTCACTAAGTGGAACCAGCATAATGTCATCAATGTAATGGACGACTGTGATTTCTCTGTGGAAGTGAAAAGTGATAAAGATCCATGCAAACTAAATTATGACATACAGCTAGAAAGCCAGATACTCCTGACATAGAGCAGTTAAGGGACACTGCTAGCCTTGCTAGCTGAAAGAAAACGACTTCTAGTGGTCCTTATTGACAAGTATGGAGAAAAAAAGGCATTTGTCACGTCTATTAGGTGCCAGGGAATGTGTCAATTTGCTCAAGCATTGAAACCACATCTGGTACAGCAGCAGTACTTGGAGTTACCACCTGGTTATGCTTATAATAATACACTGTCATTCTCAAAGATTCATGTGTCTTCTGCATAGGCCAAATAGGCAAGTGAGATGAATATATGCTGGAAATTACCACACCTGTGTCAAATCCTTGATGGAGGAAAATCCTTCCAGAAATACAGTATTGCTTTTGGCTTATAATTTTCTTAGGTAGAGGCAGTTCAGTGGCTTCCACCTGGGGCCTTTCCCATCATAATAACCCTCACTCAATAGGTCAGGAAACCAATGTGGAGACACTGCCAATTTCTGAGTATGTCTATTCCAACTATGCATTCCAGAACTTGGGAAATAATGACAAGATGAATTCGAAGACTCACTAGGCCTATTGTGAGAGAGTGCTCACCTAAAACTCTATTGATCATCTGGCCCCCATAAGCTTCCCTGATATTTTAGGTCTCTTGGACTCATTGTCACTTCAGAGCCAAAGTCCAATAATCTGATTATTTCCTTTTCCCCAGTGAACAGTAACCCTGGTAAAAGGTCACAGGTCCCTTTGAAGAAGAGTGAGGAAAAGATTAACAGTATAAATTTTGGTGGCACACCAGTGTATAGAGCACCCTTGACATAACATAGACATCTTTCTATCTTAGAAAAAGACTCCATTTTATATTTCATGGAGCATTTTGCCAACAAGGATGTTTTGTTTAATTAAAAAAATAAATCAAAACCTAAAAATTGCATCCAACCAGATGAGGATACAACAGACACATTCTTCCACTATCAGTTCTGACCAGAGGACTCTGTGACTATGAAAGATTAGGCCTTCAACATCTTGCAGTCACTTGTGATAAGAATTTGGCATCTGCTGACAAAGGATCTACCACCTCAAAGACTTGTCGTTGTAAGACTGACTGACCACCCAGCCGAGACCAGGACTCCTTTTGTCTTCTTCGCTCCCCAAGGACTGGTTTATTAACCCTTTCTCCTATCTCTTTTCCCTCTCGATGTTAAAATGTTACTTTGTTGTGGAATGTTTAACTTATAATATTTATACATTGATTAAATATACTATTATGTATGGTTTGCAATACTGACTGACTTGTAGAATGGCTTCAGCCTGTGTGCCCACAGCTCTGACTACTGAGTGAACGGGAAGTATAAGGATAATTGCCTCATTGAGAAATCCATGTAGCTTGTGGCTTTTGTGATTAAAATGCATCAATAAAAGCCTGACATTGTGAAAAGACACATATATGTGTGGACCTGGTTACTTCTAACCTTGTACTGGTCATGAGAAAATGAGTCCTTCCTCAAGGGGACCCAGCTTCCCCTTCCTTCACAAAGTTCTGGTCCTGTAAATTGGCTCAACTTGGGAAATTGATTGAGGGGCCATGACTCACTGCTTTTATGATTAAAGTTAGGTATTTGTTCACTTGATCTAGAACTTTTCTGCGTATACAGGTAAAATAAAAAAATTAATAGGCATACTATCTACTTCTCCCCTACATACACCATGATCAATTCACCAATGTCATAGATCTGCTCCAGTCAAATCAGCATCACAGTTCTGCTTGCTGCTTTGACTCTGCTGTCCATTATGGTGACCACATTCAACTTGCCTTTGGTGACTGAATGCCACCACTTGGCTCCTGCCAGCTCAGGATCCAATTACTCCCAATGCGTTCAGGTTTTCTAATTGACCAGCTGTAGTTCCTACCATAAGGTCTGATCTACAAAGAAGGGTAGTCGTAGAGCTCTTCAAGAAAGCTGAGCCTCCCTTTAAAAATTTATTTCTCACAGTACACGGAAGTGTATCTTCAAGACCCTGCAGTGTGAGTAAGTAGGTCTTACATTATAAATCTACTCCAAAGTTCCAATCTCCCCAAATTATTTTATTTATTTAGAGACAAAGCCTTACTACATCCCCAGTGCTAAAACAGTGACCAGTACATATGAATTAGTGATCCACAAATGTTCAATCAACATACATTTCTAAAAGGAAGTCTGCAATGGAACACACACACACACACACACACACACACACACACACACACACACACACACAGTGATTGCAGCATAAGAGAGGAAAGAGGGAAATTCTAGGCTGATGATAAAAGAAGCGTCTAACATAAAAGCTTCCTATAGATCTAAAGGACAACCAGACTAGATTGGAATAGGAAAAAGGGGACTCTAGGTGCTATATTTCCAAGCAAAACAATTGAACCAATAAATATCCAGTGGGTTTAACCACTTTTTCCAATGCGTTTTATGATTACAGAGAAAAATTTAAAGATCAATTTGTGGTGAGTGCACAGAAATATAAGTAAAGGAAAAAGGACAAAATCATTAGTTCTACAAGAAAGAATGAAAAAAAAAAAAAAAAAAAAAAGACCAGCAAGCAAGAGAGGGGAGAGGAAGGACGAGTAAGGGAAGAGAGGAGGAGGGAAAAGAGAAGAAGGAGCAGAGAAGAGAGAGGAGGGCAGAAGAGGAGAAAAGAGGGGAGAAAAAAAAGAAAGAAAAATATGTAATTCATAGTACATTTTTTAGCTCTGGCATAAATACATGATAATAACGTAAATACTAAGTATGGTTTTAACAAATGTTATTATGAAAGTATATTAGAAAGAAGCAGGAGAGTGAAAGTTAAAAGGAGAGGAGTTTAAGTACTCAATGGTCGTCTTTCACAAAAGATTAATGTTCAAAGTTTAAAAATCAAGAAACAGTAATTCATGGCTGGGTGCAGTGGTGCACGCCTATAATCCTAGCCACTAGGGAGGCTGAGGCAGGAGAATCCCTTGAACCCAGGAGGCAGAGATTGTAGGGAGCCAAGATCATGCCACTGCATTCCAGCCTAGGTGACAGAGCCAGACTGTGTCTCAAAAAACAAACAAAAAAAGAAATAGTAATTCAAGCATATCACTGTCAACAACCAAAAACATTTGAAAGATGTGGCTGCTTCCAAGAGTTAAGAATCAATCACGGGGAAGAGGGGGAAAAGAGGCAGAGAACTATTGTTTATCTGTTTCGTATTATACTATTATTTGGGTGCTTTATTTGATGAAAAATAAATTTTAAATTAAAAATCATATGCCCAGCTGAACACACTGGCTCACGCATGTAATCTCAGCACTTTAGGAGACCAAGGCCAGTGGATCACCTGAGGCCAGGAATTCAAGACCAGCCTGGCAACATGGTGAAACCCCATCTCTACTGAAAATACAAAAATTAGCCGGGCATGGTGGCGGGCACCCATAATCCCAGCTACTCAGGAGGCTGAGGCAGTATTGTTTGAACCCAGGAGGCACAGGTTGCAGTGAGCCAAGATCGCACCACTGCACTCCAGCCTGGATGACAAAGTGAGACTCCGTGTCAAAAAAATAAAAATAAAAATAAATCATATGCCCTAAATATATAGAATAGTAGATGAATAAAAAATAAAAATTGTAATACACACATATTTTTGTAACTGGACAACAGGTATTTATCCAAGATTATTCTTGAAAATCTCTAAAAAATAGAACATGCATTCAAGTTTTACAAATATGAAAAAAACTATGAAAATACAAAAGTATTATAAGCTAACTATTAAGAATCTGTACTTTTTTTAAAGTCAGTTTTTTGAGGGGTTTTGTTGTTGTTGTTGTTGTTGTTGTTGTTGTTGTTGTTGTTTGAAAAAGACAGGGTCTCACTCTCTCGCCCAGGCAAAGTGCAGGGGCATGATTATAGCTCACTGTAGCCTCAAATTCCTGACCTCAAGCAATCCTCCTGCCTTGGCCTCCCAAAGTGTTGGGAATATTGGTATGAGCCACTGCACCGGATCTAAATTCAATATTGTAACCTACCAAATGGAATTTGAGTTTATTTCCATTTCTACTCGTAGTAATACTACCCTTTTTTATAAGTTTTGCTCTCAGAAACCAAACATAATTTATATTAAAGAATAAAGAAAAAAAAAATTTTAAACCTGAACTCATGTCAAACTGTTTCATTTTCCTTATTATAAAAATATAAAAATTTAAAGGTTTAGGTTCTTCAATGAAATATCCACATTGATTTGTTAAGATGTAGTTATCTATGCCCTTGTAAAACGAAGCGAATTGGATGGATGTACCTCCAATTACCTAAATAGTTGACAGAAACACTCCTAGGAGTTCAGGGAGAAAGCCAGGGAGGATAGCTCAAATGAGGAAGGGAATGTATTAACACAAAACTGAGAAACACATTACACACAAGACTAAAGGTCAAAACTAGGCAAAACTGGCCAGGTGCAGTGGCTCCCATCTGTAATCCCAGCACTCTGGGAGGCCAAGGTGGGAGGATCACGAGGTCAAGAAATTGAGACCATCCTGGCCAACATGGTGAAACCCCGTCTCTACTAAAATACCAAAATTAGCTGGGCATAGTGCATGCCTGTAGTCCCAGCTACTCAGGAGGCTGAGGCAGGAGAATCGCTTGAACCCAGGAGGCAGAGGTTGCAGTGAGCCAAGATCACACCACTGCATTCCAGCCTGGAGACAGAGTGAGACTCTGTTTCAAAAAAAAAAAAAAAAAAAAAAAAAAACTAGGCAAAACTGTTCATGCTCAAGATACAGTAATCTTAAGTGCTCAAAGTAAACTATCATTAACTTTTCAACAATGTTTGCACTTTGTGTCAGCACTCTCTCAACATCATATCTAACACAAACTTAAATAATCACATACCACAAAAGAATATAGTGTAACAATAAAGGAAAGATTTTATTCTATTGTGTCTTTAATCACTCTGTGAAATAGTAAAATAGAATACTGCCCTTCGGAAAGTTTTGGTTTCCCTTATTTTTGTGAACATATTCATCTAATATGTACCTGTAGCTTGTATAAATATTACAGGTCAGTTAGTAAAGAACTGAATAAAGAGAAAGTAACTATTCATGGCATTCACAAAATATATAAATATCTTAAACTCCAAAAAATTAAGATAACCATGCAAATCAATTATGTAATTACTATAAACACATTTTTAATTATTTGTAAATAATCAAAAAATCCTCTTGCTTTTATGTTTAGGCACATGAAATATTAATATATTTGCAAGTACCTCTAAAAATCTGTATTTACAGTTTTTCAGGTAAAACATATCTCCAGACAATAATGATCCTTCCAGTGACTTCCAAACTGGCATCAATTTACTCAAGATCTTTCACTAATCAATACAGAAAGCTTAATTTCCATAAAGGTGACAAAAAAGTTGCTCTAACTCTTTCCAGCTACAAGCTCTCAACAGATGATCATCATTAAGTCTGTATCAGGGCTCCACATTTAGGAGCCATATAAATGTGTCCTATTAGTACACGGTCAGTCTGTTTGGCAACTCTAGTTCTTCAGACATATGGCAATTGCTGCCCTTTGAGGTCTGAAGTCAAGTCTTTAGGGAATCTCAAAGCTTGCACTGAAATTACAAGGAGTGTTCATTAGAGACTTCTGGAGGGGAAACATGAAAGACTTCCATTAAAACTATATAAAACAGCTAATTATTTTTAAAAGATTTTTAAACCATCTAATGTTCTCAACTATAATAAAAAGTATTTACCAACTGAATTATTTTTAGAAGCACTACTTCAGGACATGGGTGCAAACAGGTTTCTTCCTACCTCCTATCTCCCACCTCAATACATACATATTTATTTTATAAGAATTATCAACTCAAGATTTCAATACTTTTAATTTAGAATTAAATTATCTCATACTTCTAAATTCTGTCTACAGACCACTATAAACATTTTCTAAACAAAGTTATTCTTAGAGACAAATGTTTGTTTTCTAATATTTAGCTTAGGATAATATATAGCCAACTTAAACCCAGCCAGAAATACATATGTGTTTCTTTTTAAATGTTTCTTTTTTATTCAAAAGTCTGCCTCTATTTTAATTTTTATTTTATTTTAAACTAATAATCATAAAAAATTTTAAGCATAAAATGATATAAAGTATTAGTCAATAAAGTGGCATTTATTAGATAATATTATGCAAAACAGGAAAACACATGAAGGTTTAATGTTTACTTTTTTTAATATACTTAAGTTGATAAGGAGGAGTTCAAAGAAATCTCATATATTTACTGTCAGAATTTTGAAAAACATAAAAAGTATATTTTCTAATTAATGATTGCTTCCATTTTAACTTTTTGAATGTCTAGACACTTTTTAACTCGAGAGAAAATCATTATTTATTAAGTTTTGCAATAAAACAATCCTACTACTGAATATTTATTTCAGTAACAAATCTTTATAAACTTATATAAAATTCATTAGCTTGCCTCAATCATTTCTTGAATCCACATATATGTTGGTTTCTGACAGCGTAATTCCAAAAAGTAATTACAACCTCAATCCATTTGTAAAAAGACAACAGAAAACAAGTATGTTACACCAGTTTAAAAGAATAAAAATCTAAAGAAAACAGATTACAAATGATTTATATGAATGCCTAGTGGTGAAGTTAATTACAAGTAACCCAATAAAATAGTGCCTTTATTATTGTACAGCAAGTAAAAGCTCTAGATGTAAAAACCAGAACTCTTTCTGCTGACTTCTGCATGCTCAATCCCACAGCACACAACATTAAGAATTAAACATGTGGTAAATAAGCCATATAGAAAACAGCAGTTTTTAAGTAAAAGCAGAAAACTTTCCTGCTGTTTAACCATTTGGGGCCTTCTACTCTGAATAACAACCACTGTAAACTGGCACTATGTATTCATGGAATAAGTTTTTATGGTTAATATGAAAATGAGATTTTAATTTCAGTGCTCAAAGTTTAACTCCAAATAAAACATAAATAACTGTAAAATAACACAGCATTCATTTTAGCATTCAGTAGGAGCAAATAAGGTATCTTATGTTTATGCTATGAAATGGTGATATCTACAGAATTTAAATTTTCCAAACCTCATAATACATCTACCTATAAAGCTTTGGTCTCTGAATTTAAACATATATTAGCAAAGACATATACACTTTATGTTACAGTAACTTCTTATGGTTGTCAAGAGTCACAACCTAAAGCCAGTCATAGTATGCTTAATGACTTTCCTGGTGTACAGAAATAAGACCTTTCAATCCAGAACGACTCAGTAACTCTTATCAAATATTTATCAATGTTCTCAATGAGACAATAGCTGATACCAACTATATATATATACATATATATACACGTATATATATATATATGTGTATATATATACGTGTGTGTGTGTATATATATATATGCATACCAAGTATAATACAAAGTCCTAATACATATTATGCATAAACATCATGATATAAGCCAGCAGTCCCCAACCTTTTTGGCACCAGGGACCAGTTTCATGGAAGACAATTTTTCCACAGACAAGGGGGTGAGGGGGGGGAATGGTTTCAGGATGATTCAAGCACATTACATTTATCGTGCATTTTATTTTATTTATTTATTTATTTATTTTGAGACGGAGTCTCGCTCTGTCACCCAGGCTGGAGTGCAGTGGCACCAGCTCGGCTCACTGCAAGCTTCACCTCCCGGGTTCATGCCATTTTCCTGCCTCAGCCTCTCGAGTAGCTGGGACTACAGGCGCCCACCACCACGCCTGGCTAATTTTTTGTATTTTTAGTAGAGACAGGGTTTCGCCATGTTAGCCAGGATGGTCTCGATCTCCTGACCTCATGATCCGCCTGCCTCGGCCTCCCAGAGTGCTGGGATTACAGGCGTGAGCCACCACGCCCGGCCGTGCATTTTATTTTTATTACTACATTGTACTATGTAGCAAAATAATTATATAATGAACCATAATGTAGAATCAGTGGGAGCACTCAGCTTGTTTTCCTGCAACTAGACAGTCCCATCTGGGGGTGATGGGAGACAGTGACAGATTATCAGGCATTAGATTCTCATAAGGAGCACACAACTTAGATCAGCTGCACGCACAGTTCACAACAGGGTTCATGCTCTGATGAGATTCTAATGCCGCTGCTGATCTGACAGGAGGCGGAGCTCAGGCAGTAATGCCAGTGATAGGGAGCGGCTATAAATACAGATGAAGCTTGGCTGGCTCACCTGCCGCTCACCTCCTGCATGGCCTGGTTTCTAACAGTCCACAGACTGGTACTGTGGCCCAGGAGTTGGGGACGTCTGTTTTAAACCATTGTTTGATCTACAACATAACTGAAATAATAAATGATGAAATACTTGATAACTTGGTTTTGCCCCAGAAATAAAACAGGACTGATAAACAATCAACAGTGCATCTCTCTAGTGGTATTTTATTCCTATTAATTTCACCTCCATTAGAAATCAATACAATATTAATTTATTTTGCACCTTTTTTTCTGAGTCAAAATCATCACAAATCTGTCTCCTCAACCCTCCTACTTTAAAAGTAGGGACCTCTACCCTCCTTAAGTCCTCAACAGTGCCTAATTCAATTTTCCATACAACAAACATTTGAATACTTGTTTTTATTTTTTTAATTTTTTTGAGAACAGGGTCTTGTTCTGTCACTCACTGAAATGCAGCGGTGCTATCACAATTCACTGCAGCCTTGACCCCCCTGGGTTCAAGCGATCCTCCCATCTCAGCATCCCAGTAGCTAGGACTGCAGGTGCACACCATCGTGCCCAGCTAATTTTTGCATATTTTGTAGAAACAGGGTTTTACCATGTTGCCCAGGCTGGTCTCAAACTCCTGGACTCAAGCAATTCTCCCACCTCAGCCTCCCAAAGTGCTGGGATTTCAGGCGTGAGCCACTGCACCTGGTCTTGCTTGTTAAATAAATCATAACTTAACACTGTTACTGAAAGAGGGAGAAACACTTCATTAAGAATACTCAGAGACTTTCAAAGCATTACTGGATATATTAGTTTCTTGTAGCTGCTGTAACAAATTGCCACAAACTTGGTGGCTTAAAGTACTATAAATTTGTTTTCTCATAATTCTAAAGGCCAGAAGTCTGAAATCAGTTTTACTGAGCCAAAATAAAAGTATCAGTAGAGCCATTCTCCTTCTGGAGACTCCAGGGGAGACTCTGTTCCTTGCTTCTTCCAGCTTCTGGTGGCTGTCAGCATTCCTTGGCTTGTGGCCAAAGAAAACAGGGTCTCTCTGCTCCATTTTCACATTGCCTTGTCCTCCATTTCTCTGTCTGTAGCCTCCCACTAACGATCTCTAATAATGATACATACGATAACATTTAGGGTGTACCCACATAATCCAAAATTATCTTTTCATCTCAAAATCTTTATCTTAATAAGATCTGGAAAGACATTTTTCCAAATAAACTAACATTCACAGGTTCCAGGGATTTGTCATGGCTATTTGTTGGGGAGCCATGTCTCAGTCAATCACGCTGAAGAAACCAAATGAGAACAGAAAGAGCAAGCAGACGAAAAGTGAACCTTACCAGCAAGTGCAAATTCAAAATATGCAAAGGAAACAAAAACTTTTTTTTTTAAATTTAGTGCTGTGTGGCAAGAACTGGAAAAAAAAATTAAACAAATCAAGTCACCTTATGCTCCAAGTGTTGGTTCTAATAATGACTGCATTGTGACTGGTTTTGTTTTCAATGTCAGAAATTCAGCTTAATTTGTTAAGTATAAAGCCTATCAGGCTGCAATAAACTGAAAGGTGGGCAGCTGAGCTTCTTGTGACAAGCTGATATCACACCGAGCAATCTAACTGCCTAATGCCAGAGTACTTAAGGCAGCAGTCCAGATTTGCTAAGGAGACTGGTTAAGCAACAGAAAGCTTCTTAAAAGTTCTCCCTCATTATTTTACTTTCTCACTGCCCCTAACCAACTTCTTTTTCCCTTTTTAACTTACAATACTAGCAAATAGAATCCTGTTCTCACGAATTAGTAGCACTTCACAAACAATTATAGGATAATAGCGTACCGTTCCAATGGATAGAAATACAAGACAAGTCTGAAAGATCAAGCAACTTTCTAAGTGCTCTCAAGTAAAGAAATAGGTAAGCTTTTCTGAGAAAAAGAAATAAAAAGAAACCAAAATTAAATTTAACTTCAATTTTGTAGTATCTGATACACTGCAACAAGAATAAACTGACAAGCCAGCCAGCAAACAAGGCAGTACTGATGTTTCAATTAAATGCCTAATTATAATCTGAGCTTCTAAATGAAGAATTTACAGAAATAAATAATTACTACCAAAAAGAATGCACTGTGTTGTATCCAGTATTCAGGACCTTGGTAAACAGTTTCACACTCACTATCTATAAAAGCCCACTGTGGAAGAGAAAGTGTCAGGAGAATGTGGGGAACAGATTTAGGGTCACACAGTTTGGGGTTTCTGGTTAACTACCTAGAAGATAGTGTGATATGCTTAACACATATGTCTCATATATGGATACTATTTGTAAGTCAGCATGGAAATAAGTATAAATGAAAATAAAACAGCTATTAAGAGGCCTTGAAAATAAGGCAGAGAAGTTTGAATTTGACAAAACAGTAAACAACTACAGCTTCTCCTGGAAAGAAAATATAAAGACACTCTACTAGGAAAGTAAATTTGTTAGTATGTACTCAGAGATAAAATCAGGAGAAAGGAAAAAGGGCATTTCACTAATTCAGGAATAAATTGGACCAGAATCTAATTCTTTTATCTCACTCTCTGCCCAAGTTTTATTAAGGTATAACTGAGAAAAAGAAATTGTATATATTTATATATCCAAGGTGATTTGATACGTGCATAAATTGTAAAATAATTAAATCAAGCTAATTAACATATCTATAGCCTCATATACTTATCACTTTGTGGTGATGCTGTAGGAGTTATTAAGAAATTATTTTAGGCAGATAGAGAGGAAAAGGGGTCCTCGGGAAGTTTTCATTTTTAAAGCTGCTTCAGAAACGTTTCTTGTAAAAGTCCTGGCTCTTTGAGCCTGATGGCAACCTTTGATATGCAAATTTAGGCCATTTGAAACTGGGTCCACCCAAACTTGGTGATTATCGCTGCCTTTTTGCCCTTGCCCCACATGATCCTGGCAACACAGCTGCCCCCACATATCCCCATGTGTGTAGAACATCATGGTGCCCTGTATTTGCATATTAAAAGGCTAGGGTGGGAGGCCCAGCCTTTTTGCCCTACGTGAATGACATGCCTGGTCAAACCAATCCCCTGAGCCCTATGCAAATCAGACACCACCTCCTCCAGCCTCTACATATACCTGACTGGTATCCACTGCATTTGGGGTTCCCTCTCTTGGCTTTGGAGCCCCGCTCCCTCTGTCTCTGTACAGGGGAGCTCCTTCCTTCTTTCTTTCCCCTTTCTATCTTGCCTATTAAACTCTCTGCTCCTTAAAACCACTCCACGTGTGTCAGTGTCATTTTATCTAAACTGGCATGAGGATCAAGAACCCTGGTGTTCCTCCACTCATCGGAGTCATATCAGTGAGAACATTTAAGATCTACACTCTTAGCCAGAATCTGATTCTTTACAGAGGGCTTTTGAAAATGATATTTCCTTTTATTTCTCCCCAATTTGTAACCACCCAATGGGCTCACCTTGCCCGCTGCCTAGACAGAGCCGATTTATCAAGACAGGGAAATTGCAATAGAGAAAAAATCGTTCATGCAGAACCTGCTGTGCGTGAGATAAGAGTTTTATTATCACTCAAATCAGTCTCCCCAAAACCTGGGGGTTTGTTTTTCAGGATAATTTGGTGGGGAGGAGGCCAGTTAGTCAGGAGTGCTGATTGTTTGGATTGGGGATGAAATCATAGGGAGTCAAAGTTGTCCTCTTATGCTGAGTTAGTTCGGGGCGGGGGCGTGGGGACAGAACTGGTTGGCAAGTTCAGGTGGGGCCATCTGGTTGTCAGAAATGCAAAAACCCGAAAAGACATCTTAAAGGCCAATCATAGGTTCACAGTAGTGATGTTATTTTCGAGAGTATTTGGAGAAGTTGCAATCTTATGACCTCTGGAAAAATGTCTGGTAATATTTAGAATTCCAGCCCCTCTCATCCTAACTTGGTGGCTGGTGGCCTTTCATTCATTTTACAAGAACAGTCTAGCTTTTGGGAAGGGCTACTATTTAAACTATAAATGAAATTCCTTGTCAAGGCTAGTTTGGCCTACGCCTAGGAATGAACAAGGACAGCTTGGAGGTTAAAAGCAAGATGGAGTTGGTTAGGTCTGATATATTTCAGTGTCATAATTTCCTTAGTTATAATTTTGCAAAGGAGGTTTCAAATTCTACTAGGACTCAGGAATCATCATAATGAACAACTGTTAATGATAATAATGTACTTGACCAGAAAAAAAAGGTGGATTATCACAGAACTAGATTAACTACTATAAAAGTATTTCTCAACTACGGTAAAACAGGAGGTACGTTGAAAGTAACATAGTATAAACAAAAAGCACTAAAGTTGACAAAAGGGGCACTTAAAAACAATTAGAGTAGTAATACAAGTAACACGACATCAGTGTTACTTGTATTTTGGTACATTTTGTTTAGTATCCCAGAAAGGGCAGTCATTAATAGCTAGCACATAAAAACCACGGAATCATCTTTGGGAGCCTATTGAAAAAGTGAATGTTATCCATTATCCTTGTCTACATGGAAATGAAGGCCAGAAATGGCTAATCTATGAGACCTCGTCTAGCTCCACCAGGTTAGGAGGATGAGAAGTGCCTGAATTCTGTTAAGATGTAGGCATAGTTATCAGCCATTGTTCCAGAGGTCACAACATTTGCAACTTCCCTAATTACTCCCGTAAATAACATCACTGTTGTAGACCCTAAGGTTGGCCACCTTTTGAGATGTCTTTTAAGACTTTTGCATTTTGCATTTCTTTTTTTTTTTTTTTTGAGATGGAGTCGCCTGGGCTGGAGTGCCAATGGCATGATCTCAGCTCACCGCAAGTTCCGCCTCCTGGGTTCAAGCTATTCTCCTGCCTCAGCCTCCCGAGCAGCTGGGACTACAGGCACCCGCCACCACGCCCAGCTAATTTTTGCATTTTTAGTAGAGACGGGGTTTTGCCATGTTGTCCAGGCTGGTCTCAAACTCCTGACCTCAGATGATCCACCCAGCTCAGCCTCCCAAAGTGCTGAGATTACAGGCATGAGCCACTGCTCCTGGCCTAGACTTTTGTATTTCTGATGACCAGATCACTCCAGCCAGACTCAAGATTCATGACTCAAGGGTCCTGTAGCCCTCACCCAGAAGTGGACTCAGCAAAAGAGGACCATTTTCCACCATCCAATGATTTTATCCCCAAACTATCAGCAGCACTCTGACCAAAAAAATATGTTTAAAAAACCCTAGTCTCCAAATTTTTAGGGAGGCTGATCTGAGTACTAATAAAACTCCACAGTCTTCTATTTAGCCAGCTGTATGTGTATTAAACTTTTTCCCTATTGCAATTCCCCAGTATTCATAAATTGGCTCTACCTTGGCAGCAGGCAAGAAGAACCTATTGGGCAATTACATTGGAAATACCGAATAAATGAAGAGGATTTTGAGTGCTGTTAAAAAATACTCAGATTCGGCCAGGTGTGGTGGCTGACGCCTCTAATCCCAGCACTTTGGGAGGCAAAGGTGAGCAAATCACCTGAAGTAGAGAGTTCAAGACCAGCCTGGCCAACATGGTGAAACCTTGTCTTTACAAAAATAAAAAAAAGTCGCCAGGCATGATGGTGGGTGCCTGTAATCCCAGCTACTGGGGAGGCTGAGGCGGGAAGATCACCGCGGAGGTTGCAGGGAGCCAAGATTGCGCCACTGCACTCCAGCGTGGGTGACACAGACAGACTCCATCTCAAAAAAAAAAAAAACACTGATTCAGAATTCAGTAACTTTAATTTACAACCTACTTTGCTCTGTAAACAGTACTGCATAGTTTTACATGCACTGCCTAATAAGATCCTTTTTTAAAATTGTTTCGAGAAAGTAGTGTTAGAATTATATGTGGATCGTAAAAATGTAATTTTTAACACGAGATATAGAAATATTAATTTAAACATTAAATTTATAACAAAGGATATGATACGTTTAATTTTGTTTAACACCTTTTACTAGTTAAAAACTTCCTAGCATCTTCTATCTCAATACTTTTTGTTTTTTTCTTTTTAATCTTTCTGGGTACATAGGAGTATATATTTATGGGGTACATGAGATGTTTTGATACAGGCATGCAATGCATAATAATCACATCCTGTAAAATGGGGTATCCATCCCCTCAAGCGTTTATCCTTTGTGTTACAAACAATCTAATTATACTTTTTTCATTGTTGTAAAAATGTACAATTGAATTATTATTGACCATAGTCACACTCTTGTGCTATCAAATACTATTATTTTATTTATACCATTAACCATCCCCACCTCTCCTCCATCCTCCCACTACCTTTCCCAGCCTCTGGTAACCATCCTTCTCTACTATCTCTGAGTTCAACTGTTGCTTCCAAATTTTGCCTATTGTGAACAGTGCTGCAACAAACACGGAAGCGCAAATATCTCTTTGATATGCTGATTTCCTTTCTTTTGGATATATACCCAGCAGTCAGATTGCTGGATCATATGGTAGCTGTATTTTTAGTTTTTTGAGGAACTAAAAACCATTCTACATAGTGGTTGTACTAATTTAGATTCCCACCAACAGTGTCTGATTAAATCTTTTTGTTGTTGTTTTGAGACAGAGTCTCATTCTGTCACCCAGGCTGGAGCTCAGTGGCATGGTCTTGGCTCACTGCAACCTCCGTCTCTCAGGTTCAAGCAATTCTCATGCCCCAGCCTCCCAAGTGGCTGGGACTACAGGCACACACTACCACACCCGGTTAATTTTTTTTTTTTTTTTTTTTTTTTTTTTTTGGTATTTTTAGTAGAGATAGGGTTTCGCCATGTTAGCCAGGCTGGTCTCAAACTCCTGCCTGTGATAATCCATCCACCTACTCCTCCCAAAGTGCTGGTATTACAGGCATGAGCCACGATGCCTGGCGCTAATAAGATCTTAATATACCCATTTCACTTAATAAGAAACTGAGACTCAAGAAAGGAAAGTAATTTGCCAAGGTTACACAGTAAATAAGTAATAGAATAAAAAACATTTATTAAAATTCAAAATCTAAGAGACGGGCAAATCACCTGAGGTCAGGAGTTCAAGACCATCCTGGCCAACATGGTGAAACCCCGTTTCTACAAAAATACAAAAATTAGCCGGGCATGATGGCAGGTGTCTATTAATCCCAGCTACTTGGGAAGCTGAGGCCAGAGAATCACTTGAACCTGGGAGGCAGAGGTTGCAGTGAGCAGAGATCATGCCATTGCACTCCAGCCTGGGCAACAGAGTGAGACTTCGTCTCCAAAAAAAAAAAAAAAGAAAATTCAAAATCTAGGTCAGGCACAGTGGCTCACGCCTATAATCCCAGCACATTGGGAGGCTGAGGCCAGTGGATCACCTGAGGTCAAGAGTTCGAGACCTGCCTGGCCAACATGGTGAAACCCCATCTCCACTAAAATTCAAAAATGTGCCAGACATGGTGGCGTGTGCCTGTAATCCCAGCTACTCGGAAGGCTGAGGCAGGAGAATCACTTGAACCTGGGAGGCAGAGATTGCAGTGAGCCGAGATCATGCCACTGCACTCTAGCCTGGGTGACAGAGTGAGACTCTGTCTCAAAAAAATATATATATATATTCAAAATCTATCATCACAGTATTTTCCTGGCCTCAGCCTTTTCTTAAAAACCCACCTAAGGCATCTTTTTCCTTCTTCCTGTTATGACCCATGACAGAGACAAGAGCCACCTGTACATAGTTGACCTCAAACAGCTGAGGAATTCAGTACTAGAAAACCAAATAAATTGCATCAAGATTCTGATTCTTTTATTCAGGCCTAAATCAAAGTTCAAGCCTCAAATTTTGCTAAAACTGTATATATATTTCTGAATTTTCATATTATAAAATAACAGCTTGAATAAAAATAGGTGCCTGACTAAAAAATGTACAATAGATGGAATGTTTGTGCAATTACTCAAATAATCATTCCCTCCTAAATTATACTATGTCCTATTATGTATGTCAAGGTATGTAAATTACTAAATAATAATTTTATCGCAGCACTAAGTTAAACACTGCAAATACCATAAACATACAGCAAGATTTAAATCTGGATCCTGAGAAGCTGGGATGCCTAATATGAACTCTGACTACTCTGACTAAAATCCATTAAATTATATACTATTCATCAAAAACTATATAGTATGAGAATATAGCTAAAACTTCTAAAAGTTATCAGAGAGTTTGGTATTAAACAAAGGCAATCTCAAAATTTACACTTTTAACCTAGCCTCTCTATAATTCCTTAACTTCAGTAGATTGATTAGAATAGGAAAAAAAAGTACTAAGTAAAAGCAAGCAATGATAGCTGAGAAACAGAGACACTGATCTGTATTCTTTTTTTTTATACTTCAAGTTCTAGGGTACATGTGCACAACATCATTAAAACCAAAGAAAAATGTTATGCTCAGAATATTCCCATTTGTGTATTTCTCCCTTTTCCTAACTCTCTTCTTAATCCCAAATTTAAAAGACTAGTTGTAAAACAGTAGGGTGCCAAATTAAAACACATTTTATTTTCAGATGTCTCCACACTCACAGGCTGACTTCCTGTCAGGAAGAGTTCCATTTCATTGAATACCCCAATCAGCAGGGAACTTGCAGAATTAAGTGCCAGTTGATATTACTTTGTTTTGCATTTACCACCCTTGAGAATAATGTTCAAAGATCTAGTTATATAGTCAGCATGGTATCATCCTTCTGACTAGACTGCCAAGCCACAGGGTGTACTGCCAGTTCCACAAAATTTACCTCAAAGGTTGTGTTTTCTAAATCCTAGTGTGCTGGTGAATCCATAGGACGCCTGTATTTCAGGTCAAATCCTGAATCTAAAGTTAAATTATGTTTTTCTTTGGTTGTAACAGCACTTTTAAATCAATATTATGGAAACTCAAATAAAGATCAATTAATGCTCACCAACCCATCAACCTATTTTATTTTTGAAAAGAAAAAAAAAGTACTTTACTCCGATTTATTTTGTATTAATGTTTTTGCTATTGTTTCAAGACAAATGTTTCCACCTTATAATAGAAAGTTATCTGTTATAAAATTTTGAATCAATAAAGCATGTTTGCATATCAGCAATAAAGTACAGTTATTGAGCTGATTTTAAATATTTTAAAATAGTTCATGCATCTAAGTTTTTCATGACCAATTTATATAGCTTGAATCTTCACCTAACCTCTCCAACTACCATAGACTTCCTATCCAGTCCTCACAAGTCTATACTTCCTTCTTTTAAGGTCAACTGTTTTTACTGCGCACAAAATGAATTCTGAGCATTTCAGCAAAGAATACCTACTTTCTCGGGCTTTGTATATTATAAGAACAAAGCATTCACAGCAGCTCTAAAGCAAAACAATATGAGTGTATTAGAAGCCTACCCTATTGATTCTCATTCCATCTGCAATCAAAAGGTCATAGGTAGTAACAATAACAAAGCTCAGGGACAATCAATTTATATCCACTAATTTTTTATAAGTACGTTCTAAGGATAAGTTACAAACACATCAAGAAGGAATTAAAAATTCCTTTTTGAAATTGAAATTAAAATGTACTGAAACCAACATTTTCCAAACTTATTTAACACTGTATATTCTTTTCATGGAACAATTTCTTTTGAGACTGGGTCTGCTCATGTTGTTGCCCAGGCTGGTCTCAAACTCCTGGCCTCAGGCAATTCTATGCTTCAGCCCCAGTAGCGGGGATTACAGTTGCAAACCACCACACTGGGCAGAACACCTACTATTATTATCACAAGGTACTCACTGTGGAATTTGCTGTATTGAAAAAGTCAGATAGTGAGAGTTGATCAAACAAGCACATGGCTACCACAATTTCAACCAAGGAAAATTGTTAATGTCCGTTTAAAATTATTATCTTATATTACAATTATTTGTCTCGCTCACTAATTGTCTCTTCTACTGCTTAAGGAATAATAGATGATAGTTTCCTTAAAGGAAGGGGCTTGTCTTAAAAGCATACGACACATGTTTGCTAAATAAATGAATAAATAATACCAGAAGCAGACATAAAGAAAAGGACTTGGGCAAGGCAGATATATTCACACAAAGCTCTGTAGAAGAGACAGCATTTGAACTGAGCCTGATTGACCATAAAACTGAAAATTCTAAATGTACAGAATAATGGCCTCCTCAAACTGCTATACAAAACTTCGTATCATAGGATTTCCTTATAGGTGAAAGAAATGCATAATGAAGTTAAGAAGGCTTGGCCGGGCGCGGTGGCTCATGCCTGTAATCCCAGCACTTTGGGAGGCCGAGGCAGGTGGATCACGAGCTCAGGAGATCGAGACCATCCTGGCTAACACAGTGAAACCCCGTCTCTACTAAAAATACAAAAAAATTAGCCAGGTGTGGTGGTGGGCGCCTGTAGTCCCAGCTGCTCGGGAGGCTGAGGCAGGAGAATGGCATGAACCCGGGAGATGGAGGTTGCAGTGAGCAGAAATCGCGCCACTGCACTCCAGCCTGGGCGACAGAGCAAGGCTCCATCTCAAAAAAAAAAAAAAAAAAAAAAAGAAGGCTTATTTCTATTTTGATTAAGCAAAGCAACTCATAGTCAAAATTTCTATTTTTTGGTTGGCAAAAAATAATCCTTTATTTCATTACCTCAATTATTTCTTTGAAATAAATACATAATTTTCCTAATACCGGATAGTAAGTTTTAGTTAAAAAAAAAAAAAAGGTTGAAGCGTACCCTAAACACAGCACACTATGAATAGCTAACCACTCCACTTAAAAGAAATAAATTTCTATTTATATTAAGTTCAGCAGTAAGTAAAACTAATCCACAGTAATAGAAATCAAATCACTGGCAACTTGAGGTGACAGAGGAGGGGATTGATTGAAAAGAGGCACAGGGAAATTTGAGGATTAAAATGGTTGGGTATATGTCAAAATTCACTGAACAGTACACTTAAAATGTGTGGGTATTTACTGTATATAAATTATACCTCAATAAAGTTGACGTTTTTTATTTATTTATTTATTTTTGAGACAGGGTCTTCCTCTGTCACCCAGACTGGAGTGCACCAGTGCGACCCTAGCTCACTGTAACCTCGAATCTTTGGGCTCAAGCGATCCTGCTGCAGCATCCAGAGTAGCTAGGTCTACAGGCACATGCTACCAAGTTCAGTTAAATGTTTTTCTTTTTGGTAGAGATAGGGTCTTGCTATGTTGCCCAGGCTGGTATCGAACTCCTGGCCTCAAGCAATCCTCCCACCTGGGCTAAATTGTTTTTTTTAAAAAAAGAGGTCTAGGCTAGGGGCCGGGCACAGTGGCTCAGGCCTGTAATCCCAGCACTTTGGGAGGCCTAGGCGGGCGAATCACCTGAGGTCAGGAGTTCAAGACCAGCCTGGCCAACATGGTGAAACCCCGTCTCTAATAAAAATACAAAATTAGCCAGGCATGGTGGCAGGCATCTGTAATCCCAGCTACTCAGGTGGCTGAGGCAGGAGAATAGCTTGAACCCAGGAGGCGGAGGTTGCAGTGAGCCAAGACCACGCCATTGCACTCCAGCCTGGGCGACAAGAGCGAAACTCCATCTCAAACAAAAAAAAAAAAGAAAGAGGTCCAGGCTGACAAACATAAGGAGACCCTATCTCAACAAAAAAATCAAAAAATTAGCCATGTATGCTGGCATGTGCCTGTAGTCCCAGCTACTTGGGAGGCTGAAGCAGGAGGATCACTTGAGCCTGGGAGGTCAAATGCAGTGGACCATGATTGCACCACTGAACTCCAGCCTGGGCAACAGAGCAAGACCCCGTCTTAAAAAAATGAGGTGAATCTGATTAAGTCACAAGAAAATGAAAAACCAAAGGCCCTGCTCATAAATGAACATAACTACACTATTTGGTAATGATAAAATTAGTTGTCTTAATGAAAATGAAGATTTAATATAAAAACTAATTAATACAGGAAAGTATGGAGGTATTTCCTAATGAAAAAGACCAAAAGACAAAGTCCAAAATATGGTGACTTATGATCCATGTTACCATTGATTTATCAATTATACAAGTACATAAACATTTATATGGTTGAACAGTACTATACTGGACGCTGGGGATACAATAGAAAAAAAACACAGTGCTTGTCTTCAAGAAATTTGCAGTCTACATGGAAGAGAAAGGAAAACAACAGGCAACTTAAATATAGAATGAAATTAACTATGGGTGAGTGTTCTGCACAATACCTCATTTAGGCGTAGAGTTGTAGGGAAGAGAGGGTAAAGGAAATCTTTCCAAAAGAGATTGTAATTTATCTAGGAGCTAGCTAACTGATTCATTTTTTCCATAAATATTCACTAAGCCATAATGTGCTAGGTACCAGAAATACTTTAATGGACAAAGCAGAAATAGCTGTTACCTTCATAGCATCTAGAAAACAAAGAGGAATACTAACAGTAAACAAGTAAACCAATTAGCATATTTATACTTACAATTTGTGGTAAATTCTATAATTGGTGCTAAGATTAAGACAAAAAGATACCAATTATAGATATGATCCTCGAAGAATGAGATAATTAAGCTGAGCTCTGAATGATAAGCAGCAGCTAACAAAAGTCACCAAGTTAGAAAGAGGGGCAGCTTAGGGAAAGAAAAAGCATGTACCAAGACACAGAAATATAATGGCATATTTGGGTATCTTTAAATAGTTCAGCATGGCTTGAGAATAAGTGGTAAGAAATGAGGTTCAGGCATTAAGAGAGACCTAAATGGTAAAGGACACCTTGTGCCATGTATGGAGCTGGTTTGCCTTTTTTGGGGGTGGTGGAAGAGAGGTATTTTAATAATCTTCTCATACTGAAAATATTCATCTATAAAATCATAACTATAGAAAAGAATATTAATATCATATATTCAGAAAAAATAAACTCAAAATGGAGAAGAAACTTGGGATTAGAGAAAAGAAAGTACAGAAGAACAAAAAATAAAGAAACGTTTTACTGAAGATTCAGGAAAAAAATTCAAACATAAAACTGACATAAAATAATCATAAGAACTATCTCATTCTTATTATAAATTATTATAATTTTAAAATTAATAATTCAGAGGTACAGAAAGAAATACAAGTCAAAAATGACCAAACCTTATATCATTACCTTCATGTAAAGAAAATATTTCCCAAAACAGCAACAATCTACATATTTTGTTGAAAAATTTTTTAAAGAATAATCAGCCTAAAATAGTATTTTAAATTAACTTTTGCTGCTAATTAATTACTCAGACAGGATGCCAGTCCAGACTACATGGTGCTTCTAGTTTTTCTATATACTGTATGCATTTCTGATAAATGGGAAAAGAATAGATGACCTGGCAGAAGGCTCAGACAATAATATGTGATTTACAGGACAAGAATGCAGCTACCACAAGATTTATCTGACAGCCCTCTCCGATAGTGGACTGTTGAGTATCCGAAGGAATGATTTCTAGTCTACAAAGTCTACTACTGAGTAGCCATACACATTATTTATTTATTAGATGTTTTGGGTTGAAACCATTTTTAAATGATGCACTTCACAATGCACAGTCATAAATTTAGCTTTAAACCCAAGAAGGGAGGTAGTGTTATTGGAATGTATGTCAGACTGAATTAGGACTAGCAACACAACGCTTTTATAAAGTGGCCTTGAATGCAACGTCAAGTCTTTCAAAAATGATATTAATGTCAAATGAACAAGATACAAACACTTTATATAATGCTGGAGTAATATTACTTGAAACATTTGCTTAACATTTTCTTTAAATTCATATATATTTAAAACAGGTTTATACACATATACAACAAATTTGGCACACAAGTAAGTTGCATGTTTGTGAAAAACCACCTGAAACACAGTTGAGAACTTGTTCAATTTTTGTGTATTTGCAACAGAGAACATACAGTTTCCTGAAGAATGTAAGCAGTCTTATTTTAAGAAATAAAGAGGATTTAAATTGATCTTTGGAACTTCAGTCATTCTTGAATTATTCTACATGGGATTCAACAGATGAATAAATCTATTTTTACAAACCTCATATTTTAATTATACTCAAAAATATAATGCTGAGTATTATGAGAGGTTTCCAACTCTAATTAATAACATTTTGCCTAAACAATATTAACATTTAAATAGACTAAAATATGAAATGGTGCCTAATCAACTATTATATATAGCCTAATCAACTATTGGTAAATGAGTGGACATTGAAAATGACAATCTTAGTCAAAACAAATATATAGTGATCTGTTTGGTTTTATTGTCAGCTAACCAAATGTGATCATTTCCTCATTTCTTAAATTTAGGCTCTAAATTCTCTTTTACAAATAAAATGCAGTTAAACACCTTATTAAAAATAACACAAAAAGAATATAAGTTTTGAATGGATTCAAGAAAAATAATCAGAGCATGGCTGATTGTCATGAAATTAACACCAACTAATTTGTAAAGTTCTAAATCAAATTTGCAGATGTTAAGTTCATAAGCATATCCCATTATTTACGTGATTAAAAAGTAGTTTTTGACCTGATCTTTCGATCTTTGGCACTCCGTCCTCTCCATCTCCTCTTAAAAAATTAATTAAAATTTTAGCAAGATGGTAGCTTTTGCTTCCCACCCTATCTCAGACCAAAAAAAATTATCAATCAAACTCAAGCCATCCCCACCCAGGATCTGTAAAATGTCGACTTGAAATTCAATTTCATATCTCTTAAGCTTTCATGTAGAAAAAGACAGTTCACTTCTTAACAAAATAAATCACTTTTGTGATTGCCAAGTTGACCTCTTTGAATTAGGAAAATTCAAAGTGAAAAATGTAATTATCACCCCAGAACAATCTGTATACATCTGGAGCTAATTCTAGCTTCATTTTTCACATCATTTTTCACACTGTGCTACATCTTGTAGAGATGCCATGGAACTTTTGAAGAACTCACAAAAAATGTTAAGGACTTCAAATACCCAATAATGTATTTTATTCAAACAAAAACCTTGACAATTTCTGACTTGAAACTTACTGTACTATATGATCTTCATATCCCATTTGATTGCATTAGTATTAAACAGTACTGTGACATACATGATAAATAGGCATATTAAAACATGTCATTCTTTATCTTTGCAGCTCCTAACATTAAAATATGCAATATACTATATTGGAAATAGCTTCCATGTACCAAAAATACATTCGATTCTTCTAAACTAGAAAGTAAAACTTCATTGTGAAAATTCACCTATGAAATAATTATATCACTATGAACAATAAATTTATATTCTTGTAAGGAAACATCCAAAACCATAAGAATGCTCTTTTAAAGTGAGGGCAATTTCATGTAGACATAAGAATGCTATATGGCAATTTCTATCCAAGAAAGAAACAATTATTTCTAATCAAATGGCTTAATGAGAAATTTTATCTAGTCAGCTTTTGAAGAAATGGAGTTTTCTAAATGAGATGATTAAATTATAGAACATGATTCTCAGTAAATCTAAGAATCACAAGCCTACTAAGTAACTACTTCTCACAAGTTCATTACAAAAATCCATTAGGTGTAATCTCTAGAAGTAATTGTTCTTATCGCACCTTATTGACAATGCATAGTATTGATTTTTCACACCTTCTATGATTCTTTAATTTATATTCATGAAATGTCCATCAGCACAGTCTAAATAAATTTGGCATATAGGCACTAAAACAAATAAATCGATGCAAAGAAACATTAATTTTGCATTATCCTTATTCGTTAGGCAAGTAAACCATGAGAGTTGTAAATGAAGGTCAAAGGTTTTGAAATGGGTCAAAACCCTTGACCTCTAGACCAATACCTTTCCTATTAAAAAAGGCTATTTTAAAGTTTTAAGTGGGGGAATTTACTACCACCAAGATATCACTTTAAAAGACTACAAAGAAAACTCTCAATAAAAACATTCATCTGTTTAATTGCAAAACAGAAAAGAAAACCTCACAGGATACATGATTTTTATATAAGTTTTTTTTAAAAAAATCATTAAAGTTTACCACATGAGGTACAAGGTTTTGGAACACCTAAAATAATTTTGCTCTTAGGAATTTATTTTCTACATCTTATTATGATAGCTGCCACATTTTTGTTAATGTTTTCCCAAATCTACTGTGCATGTCAAAAATAATTACCAATGACAAGGATTCAAAATCATTTATCGCTCATTTTATAACCTCTGCACAAAATGGAAGTAAACCCATAATTCCCAGTGGAGTCAGCGTGGCACTCCACAAGATATAGAAATAAATCTGTTTTTATAACCTTAATATATACAGCAAAGAAATTATCAAGATCATTTGATCTGGACATTTTTAAAGTGACTCTAAAAACTTTTGTTTCTCACTTCCTCTCATGCTTGCTTCAAAATTATCTGCAAGTATCAAAAATAAGAAGTAATCCTTTTGCAATACAAACAAAATTATTTTAAAACAGCAAACTCACAATTTTATTATACCAAAAATTTCAGTAATGCAAATATAAAATCCCCCATGAAAACAAATTCATGTGATAATCTACTTTTAATTCAACATTTATTCTTGCCACTCACCTGAGAACACAGTAGCATAACCAATTCCACAACTGAACTACTCGACTTCATGCAAACCAGACCTATTTTAAAGAGAATTTTAAAAAAGAAGTTATAAAGAAAACAAATGAGGATTTGTTACAATTTCATCCAAACTGTTTCTTCAAATTATTTTTTCAGACTATTAATAGTGCACATTTAATCACATGATCAAATAAGGTACACTATAGTTAGTTCAAAGCTGGCTTCAAAACTACCACCATTTTTGTAAAGTATTTCATTTCAGCTTTCAAAATACTAAAACATTTATTACAACTTCATATATAATGACAATTCACAATACTCATAGAAATGTGCACAACATATGCCATATTGATCAATATCATCTACATTTTGTTTTGGAGAGAGTTGATCGTTATACATGCAGAGAAGGGAAATGGCTCCCTGACCTTTGCTTTCTCCACTACACTCTCTCCCTTCAACCCTCTAGCTATCAATCAAGTTTCCATTTTGTTTCATGGCAGCAGACATCCCAAACACTCTTATTAGTACCTTGACCTCTGACCTCACACTAAACCTTAACAGAAATGCAAGCCGTTGTCTGTTATATATTCTTGATTTCTTATAAATTAATTCATTTACTTTTATGTTTCATTTTGGTTCACCAAAAATATCTTTAGAATGGATATTTTATATAATTAATACCTATTTAAAGAAGTCTTTGGTTTTAATTACCAATAAAATATAAAGTAGTTCATTAGTATCTTAACAAAGCAATGCCAATAATTAAAGGGACTAAATTATTAAATTGCATTACTAGTAATCAAAAAAATTACAATTTTTTTATTCGACATTTTTCTAAGCAAACACAGGCTTAGGTTCCAGGGTATAACATCTAAAATAATTCCTGATGGCTCTTAAACATCCTATTGCCTTCTTTTTTCTCCCGAAGAAAACTCTTCCAGGTACCCTATCCATTCCCTTTGTCTTTTTATTCTTTAGTTCTTTCTCCTTCCCCGTTTAAATACGAATGCTTCCAACCTAATGATAGCGCATGTTGGCATTTTTTAGCTTTATAAATAGCATTCAAGTTAAAAGGGCTGTTCACCCCCTTCGTTTTTTAAAAAATGTTAGAACCATTTTTCTCAATGTCTGAAAAAATATGTAACATAGAAATGATGGTAACAGTGTCAGCACTGGCAAGAAAATTAGCTATAGAATGTCTCTATATTGTATTAGGAAGCAAATTATTAACTACAGTGTGATTTCTGTAGGGCGAAGATGAACATGGCTCTTCAGGCTAATGCTGTCAAGGCCAAAAGAAAAGGCAAGCAATACTCCCTCTCTTACTGCAGGTGTAGCCCTCTGCTGGTCTGAAACCTTGCCATTTTTCCTTAAATTTAACCCAGATAATAAAAGAAGTTCAGTTTTGCTCCAACTTCAAAACCCATTATTTCCAGAAAGTAAATTCAGATCTTTCTATTATTAGGTCATTAATCCTTATTGCTTTATTCGAGAGAAACTAGAATTCCTGCCATTGGGCCCTGATGGGCCCTTTTATTATACATCTCTTCAGATAATGAAAAATAGTAATTTTAAAAAAGACCTTAAGCTATCCAAAATTAGGGAGATTTATAGGTGCTCCTTTGTCCCTCTTACCACACTTATCATATTTCATACATATACATATATATATATTTTTTGAGACGTTGTCTCGCTCTGTCACCCAGGCTGGAGTGCAATGGCACGATCTCAGCTCACCACAACCTCCACCTCCCAGGTTCAATCAATTCTCCTGCCTCAGCCACCCGAGTAGCTGGAATTACAGGCGCCCACCACCACACTTGGCTAATTTCTGTAGTTTTAGTAGAGACGGAGTTTCACCATGTTGGCCACGCTGGTCTCGAACTCCTGACCTCAGGTGATTCGCCAACCTTGGCCTCCCAAAGTGCTGGGATTACAGGCGTGAGCCACCATACCTGGCCCATATACCTATATAGTCTTAAGAAAAATTTCACACATACACATTTCTGTTTATTTATTTCAGTCTTATTTTCCAATAATAAAGGCTAACAAACCAGAAGAAGGTTCATAGCTACTTTCTAGTTGGATATGAATATTCAGGAAAAAATATATTCACTGACAAAGCTAGTAAAAGGTCAAATAACATTTCATAGTTCGGTTTGAACAATTAAGGTGGAGGAGAGTGATGGTAGATGTATTGCAGGGGCAGGGTGGAAAGTATGTTCAATTCGAATGAGTAAGGGCTTCAGAAAACAAGAGAGACCTGATAACAGACCTTAAGTTCCCTGTCTAAAGGACACTGGTACTGTAAACACAAAAATAACATTGGGAGCAAAGAAATAGAGGATAGCCCCAATAAGGAACTTAACATCAAAATGTAGAACTTACGTCACTTCTATTTTTGACCTAAATTTTTGCCAATGGATGACACTCATCACATGTGCAAAAAAACAAATAATAAACCTGTAAATCTCTCTTCAGATTTAGTCATACTCTAAGAACATCCAAAGGAAGGCCCTAAAACCTTAAAGTCAAGTTGTAAGTTACTGCCAGAACTATCATTTTCATTTTATACACCCACAAACACACACACCCTATTACTGTCTCAATCAAAAGAAACGAAGTACTGCAAGCTTACAGATTTGAACCAGCTCACAATCTGACCTCTCTAAAACTCTCAGTAGAATAGTAGAATAATAGGGTTTGGTTTGATTATTTTTTGGTTGGCTTTTCAAAGGTAGAAAATGTTAGTCTTTTCAAAAGGACAAACTCAGGATACCAAGCCAAGAGTTTTATATCTGCACTAATCTGGAATTTTATGATCAAAGACCACTGTAATTTCTTCAGTGGAGACTCACCCAGATATATCACTTCAGTGAAAGGATTAAATGACTCACCAGACAGTAAGCCAGTGCCACCTAAACCCATCGATCTATCTAAATCCTCAAGTATACAATGAAAAAATAGTCATGACTATTTACTATCTGGAATATAAGAGCCCTCTTGTTTTTTGTATTTAAGTCACCTTAAATAATTTATTTTTTAAAATAGGATGGCAATAAACATTATGAGAAACTTTAATAAGAATTTAAGGATAATAAACTCAAGAAGTTTTACTCCATATTTTCCTGGTTTTGAAGGTATATACATATACTCCAAATGAGCATTATCTTTTAGATAAAACTAAATGCTCATGATGAATCTGAAACACAACCATCTTGAAAACACTAAGTCGAAATTTCAAATACATGTTTAATAGGCTCTAGCTTATCATAAATTCTGGTTTTCCTTCCTGAATTTATATCATCCAATCCAACATTTTGGAAAAATTGGATGACTAAAAATTTTGTTAAAGAGGACAGACATCTTCTTTGCTTGAGACTTGCAAAATATTTTCTTGTACAGATTTGCAAACATTTAGAATAATCAATCCACTGAATTTTTTATTTCCATATAAACTTTTCCTTCTAGTCATCATTGTATGCACACCTGCCTTTAGCATTTATCTACTTAGAAACTGTATCAAGTAAACTGTGGTACATAATCATCCCACAAGACGGAAGAACACCGCCACACGTCTTTTTAGAAAAATGGGATGGCCCAGGTTCTTGTCTCAAGTTATCACACAAACTAAGCACAATGAAGTCCTTCCTGCTAAATAACATGCTCATAGAGTGTACAGAGATACTGTGACCCTTTGGAGGGTCACAAACCATTGTAATATCTAAGATATTTTTTGCCTACCCCAAAAAAAGTTTTTGCCCCATTGAGACTGCAAGTTTATACTTTCTTAAAACACAGTGCAGGCAGAGTGCAGTGGCTCATGCCTGTAATCCCAACATCTTGGGAGGCCAAGGCGGGTGGATCACTTGAGGCCAGAAGTTCAAGAACAGCCTGGGCAACGCAGCAAAACCCATCTCTATAAATAAATAAATAAATAAATAAATAAATAAATAAATAAATAAATCAATAAAATTTTTTAAAACATTAGACGAGCATGGTGACATGCGCCTGTAGTCCCAACTACTTGAGAGGCTAAGGTGGGAGGATCAACTGAGCCCAGGAAGACAAGGCTGCAGTGAGCCATGATCACACCATTGCACTCCAGTCTGGGTGTAGGAGTGAGACTCAGTCTCAAAAAAAAAAAAAAAAAACCACAGTGCAAAATTTTGGGTAAAGCAATACAACGACAGAGGCTAATAAACAAGAGTAATTATTTCTTTTCCTATTGCACCATCACTCCAAGTGCAATTCTAGCATTCGTGGGTTTTTTTTTTTTAATTTTAGTCCACAGCATAGTAAAGAATAGCTGATGTGTAATAGTGAAATAGCAAAATGTTTCAAGATACAGAAAAAATAAGATCACTAAGACTATAATTAATCATATTTATAAAAAGGATCCAGTGAACTCACATATAATAATTGTAAGACATAATTTAAAATTTTCAAGCTTGTGTTCTCTTTGTTCTTTGGAAAATCTCTTTAGAAAAATTAATCCTTACAAAGGGTTATAACTACTTGAAAAAGAGGGTTAATTAACATCATTACAATTGAGACAATCAGGCTACAGGTGATTCCAGGCATGATGTAATATGAAATATTACATCTAATTTAACTTTTAGCTTTAACTTCAAGTCTTCAAAATATACAGGGCATATGGCCAGACGCAGTGGCTCAGGCCTGTAATCCCAGCACTTTGGGAGGCAAGGCCGGAGGACTGCTCGGGGTCAGGAGTTTGAGATCAGCCTGGGCAATGTGGCGAAACCCCATCTCTACAAAATATACAAAATTTAGCCAGCTTGGTGGCACATGCCTGTAGTCACAGCTACTAGGGAGACTGAGGCACAAGAATTGCTTGAACTCGGGAGGCAGAGGTTGCAGTGAGCCAAGATCGCACCACTGCACTCCAGCCTGGGTGGCACGGTGAGACTCTGTCTCCAAAAAAAAAAAAAAAAAAAACTAAAAACAAAAACAAAAACAAACAAAAAAAAAATATATATACACACACACACACACACACACACACATATATACACACACAAATATATATATGTCTATATAAACATATATATTTCTTAAAGATAAATATGGGCTGGGTATTAGACGACATTAAGAAACTATTACTATTATTAGGTGTAATAGCAGCATTGTGATTATGTAAGAAAATGTCTTTTTTTACATGCTATTAAGTATTCAAGGGTTGAATGACATGACATCTAAGATAGTTTTAAATATCTAAGATAGTTTTAAATATTAAAGCAAAATAAAGGGAAGTAGAGATATCAAATAATTATGGAAAAATGAATATGGTTTGGATAGCTGGTAATAAGTTCATAGATACTATACTTACTACTTTTGTGAAAATTTGAAATTTTCATTAAAATATTTTTAATACTAAAAAACTCATAAGCATTTTTTTAAAAATTAAGAAGCTTTGTAATGTTTGGTCACACAGCTAGTCACTGGCAAGGACAGAATGAAAACCAAAGTCTCCTGCCTTTTATATTAATGCTTTTTGTACAGTATTATGCTGCTTATACAGTACTATGGCACAATCACCTCTTTTTAAATCCTTTCTGTTTTACAGTACATGAAACCACAATCCAAAACATTCCTCACAACATAAAATACATAAGTTACATAAGAACTCTTAGATTTGTTTGCTATTTTTATGAACATCATCAATGAATAGGCACTGCTCAAATTTATACATGAGCAATAGTACACCTTCTTCCTTCTTACAATTTTACCAAAATTTATTGGTAAAAAATCATTCTAAATTAAATTTTGTTCAGGGATATAGAAGTGTCCATTGCTAATGCTTCTGGGTATTTAACATGATCCTATCTTGTTATCTGCTATAAAATTCAAAGACCAATAAGCAACAATGTCTTGCAATACTGAGAGGCTGTATTTAATACATACATCTTACTCACTGTAATAAAATTAAACATAGTTCATAAGTTGTTACACCATTTAAAAAAAAAGTTTCATATATGAAACATAAATTAGGGAAAAGCCCTGAAATATAGACTCTTCAATTTTTAAAATTCAATTTTTTTCCAATTATATTACTTCATAAGTAAAAGTCATTCATTACTTCATCAAATAGTTCATAGCTAAATAAATTATATCCTTCAATAGATCTAAGGAAATTGCTATTCCAAACTTAAGTACTTCTAAAATCTGAACTTTCTTTTTCAAATAAACTCATTGTTACTTTTTGACTGCATGAAAATAATATCGCTCATCACCAACTCCATTTACATCTATAGAAGAGATGAAATTCCTAACTAAAGCTTCATATGTACCTACTGATATTGTAAGGGTCAAACGAAGTGCTCATATTGCACAGTTAATACTCAAATATAGATATCTTAAACTATTAGCCTACCTATAACCTTGCATTTCCATTATATCCTTATTGCTACAAGAGAGATGCTTTTTCACAGGTTTTTAAAAAATTCCTCAGACCATCTCCTAGCTACTGTTAGTCAACAAAAGATTACAATAACTAAAGCTGCCAGTTGATACTTAAAGACACTGGAATACAGATGGGAGTGTCATTCCCATGATTTTTCAGTTTGAGGAGAATACAAGTATATTATCCTAAACCATCAATCACGGGCCCAAAAAAAGCCAGATTTAGCAACCACCTAATCCAAGCACTTTTGAATGCAAAAATTAATTCTATATCATCATTTATAAAAAGCCCTGTAGCTTCACCTTAAAAAATCCTAGTTATGAGGTCAGGTGCAGTGGCTCACACCTGTAATCCCAGCAACTCAGAAGGCCAAGGTAGGGTTCAATCTTGCCAGTACACTGCACTCCAGCCTACACAACAAAGCAAGACTCTGTCTCTTCAAAAACAAAATAAAATAAAAAATAAATCCTAGGTACGAAGATGAAGATTGGTATTTTGAAGTCAGTCTGATAAACTCTTCAACTCATTATTTAAGAAATTATCCTCTATTGAACTGCAATCTGTTTTCTGAGGAAATTTACGGTAAATCTACTTTCACTTGGTTAAGTCACTCTCTCTAATATTCGAAGGCACTCACTACATGGCAATGCTCCATGCGCAAAAAGAAAAAAAAAAGGAAGGAAGGAAGGCAGAAGGAAGGAAGGAAGGAAGGAAAGGAAAGGAAAGGAAAAGGAGAAGGAAAGGAGAAGGAAACGAGAAGGAAAGGAAAGGAAAGGAGAAGGAAAGGAAAGGAAAGGAAAGGAAAGGAAAGGAAAGGAAAGGAAAGGAAAGGAGAAGGAGAAGGAAAGAAAAGGAAAGGAAAGGAAGGGAAGGGAAAAGGAAAGGAAAGGAAGGGAAAAGGAAAGGAAGGGAAAGGAAAGGAAAGGAAAGGAAGGAAAGGGAAAGGAAAGGAAAGGAAAGGAAAGGAAAGGAAAGGAAAGGAAAGGAGAAGGAGGAGAAAGAGAAGGAAAGGAAAAGGAAAGGAAAGGAAGGGAGAAGGAAAGGAAAGGAAAGGAAAGGAAAGGAAAGGAAAGGAAAGGAAAGGAAAGGAAAGGAAAAGAAAGGAAAGGAAAGGAAAGGAGAAGGAGAAGGAAAGGAAAGGAAAGGAAGGGAGAAGGAAAGGAAAAGAAACGAAAGGAAAGGAAAGGAGAAGGAGAAGGAAAGGACCCATTATTCCTCATCCACTCCATAAATAGCATGGTTTCCAATCCCCTCAGCAACCTACCTCAGCATGCTATCTAGTTTGACAATCTCAAAGTACACTACCTAGAAGAGACCCAGGAATCTATGAATGACGTAAGCAGTATAGAGTAAAATGCTGTTATCTCTATTTGTAAAACAGAATTCTACAAATAACAATGCATTCCTTATCTGTGTGGCAATACATTGTTGTTCATATGGATCTAAGTTCAAGTAAAATCCTGTGACACTAGTCTCTCCAATTCTTTGCTCTCAAAATTAATTTTAATGTATCAAAAAAAAAAAAAAGTCTTAGTTCTTTGGTTCAACACATAATTCTACGCTCCATCCAAATCACTGATAAAAATCTTGAAGATTACAACATAATAGACATGTGACACAGTCTTCAAAAGATAGCCTATGAGAAACCTTGTCAAAGGCTGACAACACTTAAACAATGAAACTCCATGTTATTTCATTATCCATGTAAGTTTTTAATCCTGAAATATAAATACATACAAATAAAATAAAGAAAAACCACTTACTTGTTCCTTCTATAAGCAGTTCTTGTCCATGGCTACCCAAAAGTGTCCGAGAAAGAAAAGGTGCAAAATCCACAAAAATCTCACGAAGGAGAGGAGCTGCCTTTTCCAAAGCGTGTTCAAGCCTCTCTGTAATACTAAGGAAAAGACATTAAGTTACTTGAACTATTCAACAGATTGTATCAATTTTCTAGTTTTGAAAATAAAGATGTATTTCCATATATATATATAATTATTTAAAAAAATTAAAAATCACCTAAAGAGACATTACTGCTATGCATAGCAGTCCTTCTGCCAAAAATATTCGTTTTTATCCTGATCTATCTTGCCCCTACAATCTCCAACAAACAACCTGGTTAACAACCACTCCAAGCATCAGTACTTACTACAAGTCTCACCTGGCCAGTTAAGAGCAGTTTGTTTTTAGGCCCATTATAATCTAAACAAACTCTCATCAAGTCTTCAACAAATTTTTCTATTTACCACTAAACCATTAGCACACTGAGTTCAAGAACCATGACTTCATTTTAAAATTCACAGTTATAGCATATAGTATAGACTCAACAGACGTTGAGTGCTTATAAATTATAAAAAGCAGTTCTTTTTTATTGAAGTCAATTATTCCTTTCTAATGCAATGTGAATGATTTTTCTCCTGAAAATAATATACTTTATAGGCACATTATAACAAAACTATCATTTGGTTGATAGTTATATTTATTAATAAACTGAGATAGTTGTAAATGTACCTATAAATATATAAAAATATATTAATATATATTTGTGATTATATATACATGTATTCATGTATACATACACAGATACATTTAATGAGGGTTTTTTTTTTAAGGTCCCCAGCATTTCAGATAATTCACAGATATCCACAGCTTTAGTTTCTAACTTACAAATTAAACATATACATAAAGAGCCACTAGTTATCTACTATTAACACTAGGAGTACTTCCTATTCATACTACCAAGAAGACAGTTGCTACTGAAACTATCAACACAAACATATATAAATTTTTGCTGTGAATAACCATCTCCTCACAGGCACTGCTCTAAATACTATTTTCTTCCACACAACTCATAGAACTTGTTATCCCTGAAGAGTATCACAAATACTAGCTATACTCGAAGCACTCAAGTACCTACATTTGTAGTGTCTAATGGATTTCCCAATTGTGGTAAAGAAAATCAAGGACTCTCTGGACACTAAGTCTCCAGTGGTGGAAAATACACTCAAAGCATTCGAAATTAAACTCTGAAACCCAATTAAACAAGGTAAGTAACAATAAAAATCTATCTACAATTCAGTATTATTGTGGCTTTGGCTGACTGGCTATCACTTATATCAGCATTTTGTTGTTGTTGTTGTTGTTGTTGTTGTTGTTGTTGAGATGGAGTCTCACTCTGTCTCCCAGGCTGGAGTGCAGTGGTGCGATCTCGGCTCACTGCAGCCTCTGCCTCCCGGGTTCAAGTGATTCTCCTGCCTCAGCATCCCGAGTAGCTGGGACTAAAGGTGTGCACCACCACACCTAGCTAATTTTTTTTAATATTTTTAGTAGAGATGAGTTTTCACCATGTTGGCCAGGCTGATCTTGAACTCCTGACTTCAAGTAATCCGCCTGCCTCAGCCTCTCAAAGTGCTGGGATTACAGGCGTGAGCCACCGCACCTGGCCTATATCAGTATTTTATAGAGGAGAAACAACAAATTCCACACTTTCAATTTGCAATCATTTGAAAGAAAGTCATAAGCTTATGTAAATATTTGTTATGCATGCAGCAATTATTTTTTTACCACAAATAGTCACTTCTCATGAAGTGACTTGTACATCATGAAATGACTTGTACATCATCAAATGACTTGTACATCTTATAATCTTTCAAAAGAAAATGAACTTCTAAAATGTTCCCAAGCCTCTAAATGTCATATATGTTGAAAGAAAGAAATGAAATGAAATGAAATGAAACGAAGTAAAATAAACCTAGATAGCTTAAAAAGTCATCAAAAGGTATAAATCACAATATTCAAGTTAGTAGCTTAAATACCTCATATTTGAAACCGGATCTTGTGAAACTGAATCAACTGTTGGAACTGAGGGCAATTTTGCATTAGATGATCTACTGCCTATAAAAGAAAAATAACCATCTATAGGAATTTTCTGCTTTTAGATATGAAGATTTAAATAAAAAGAATGTCATTATACCAGTCAATAAAAGCATTATAACGTATTTTTATGTCCATTACTATTTGGATAACATTAAAATCTAACAATTAACAACTAAATGCTTTCATATATAAACCTCAGCTACAAGCTCAATTATCATGCCAGAGCAATCTTTCTATCCATGAGCTGAAGAAGCAAGAGAAAAGTAAATTCTGACTCCCTAAATAAGGTTCACAATTCCTTCTACTCAACACCAAGTGTCAACAGAAAGTTACAAGTAAAAGCATTTTCTTAACATAGCAAAAACACAGAAACAGCTACATTCCAAATTTAGCTTTAAACCTCCATTACCATGAAAACTATCCGTATTCAGTTATCAAATCACTACTAAAGGACTAAATTGTAGCAATAAATGTAATCAGGGTTAGAAGCCTAGATCTCTGAGAATCTGTAATCTTGTATCACAACTATTATCAGTTATTTTCCCCTTATGCCCCAAATACAAAAACACTATGCTTTAAAGAGAATAAGGGCCCTCTTTCCCAAAGATTGTTGAATCTTTCAGTCCAAAAGTGATTAGAAACACATCAAGGAAAGCATCTGCATCAGGCTGGAGGTTGTGTTGGCCCAGAGAAAGTTATTGGAGCCAGTGTGAGGAGGAAATCCAAGGAAAAGAGAAAACTGAGAATTGTAGAATTCATATCTATATGAATTCATGGTTCCAATAAAGGATGGAAATAATATGTGAATGACAGTATATATTTTTATAGACTTTTATATACAAACATACACACACACAAACACACACACTGCCTCTAGCTCTGTCCACTAAGAGGACACGGAAGCAGCAGCATCTTAACACTTGGTGTCCAGATCTTGGTTTCTAAATACTATACTCCACTAAAAGAAAGAAATGGCTGATTCAAGATCTGTGTAAGAAAAGCACAAAATGAGTTTGAAACATCTAGTTATGCTTTGTAGAAAGCAAGGAATGATAAGATATATACAAGGAATAAGGTTATGTCAAAGGACAATGAAGCCAGCTTGAAGGGGCTCCCACTGATCAAATACCATTGTACTCCATCCTGGGTAAGAAAGTGAAACTCCGTCTCAAAAAAAAGAATTGCCATTTTTGGCCAGGTGCAGTGGCTCACGCCAGTAATCCCAACACTTTGGGAGGCCAAGACAGGAGGACTGCTTGAGCTCAGGAGTTCAAGATTAGCCTGTGAAACACAGCAATGCCCGTCTCTACTAAAAATACAACAAAGTGGCCAGGAATGGTTGTGTGTGCCTGTGGTCCCAGCTAGGTCCCAGCTCAAGGATCACTTGAGCCTAGAGGGCAGAGGTTGCAGTGTGCCAAGACTGCACTACTGCATTCTAGCCTGAGTGACAAAGCAAGACCCTGTCTTAAAATACGATACGATACGATACGATACGATACGATACGATACGATACGATACGATACGATACGATACGATACGATACGATACGATACTTCCCTCTGCTTCACACCACTCCCAGAACTTCCTCAAGCTCACTTCAATTGTATCTAGGAATTCTGATTCAATGTGCTCTTTTTGGTAAGGCAAATAAGGTTAATTCTGGATATAGATAAGCATAGCCAGGACCTAATCAGAAGATTTGTGGATATAACTGAATAAAAAACAGCAAGGATCTGAGGCAATTTTGAACTTTCCTGAAACATGCTTGGTTTTTAGGCAGTACTTGATCAATAACCCTCAGTTCTGATTACCAGGTCTCAGTCAAATCTAAGGATCCAAAAATCTAGACAATTTGGCCCCCCAACAAGCTTGGTTCCTTTTGGAAAGCAGGCAATGCAGCAATCTTCCACAATTAACCTCTGGATAATTACTGAGCCCACCCCTTAGAGTGAGCACATACCTAGTACAAAATGAACTTAACTGTAGTTAATCTTTCTTTTCCACAACATATTTCCTTTCCCATTCCCTTGATAATCAAAGTTGACTTTCCTTTATATACCGGAAGTTTTGTATTGCTTACAGTCCTGCCTTCCTCACCATCCTGCTCAACTGAGATCTAACTGTACCTAAAAACTCTAACCAAGTGACTGTTGGTCAGGACGCATAGGATTCGTTTAAAAATGAAGCTAAAGCACACACTTCATCATGCTGACAATTATTTTTTATTTTTCTTTTTTTGAGAGAGGGTCTTGCTCTCTCACCCAGGCTGGAGTGCAGTGGTGTGATCAGAGCTCACTGCAGCCTTGAACTCCTGGACTCAAGCCGTCTTCCTGCCTCAGCCTCCCAAGTAGCTGGGAATATAGGTGGATGCCACCACACCTGGCTATTTTCTATTTTTTTTGTAGAGACAGGGTCTCATTATGTTGCCCAGGCGGGTCTCGAACTCTTGGTCTCAAGCAATCCTTTGGCCTTGGCCTCCCAAAGTGCGAGGGTTATAGGTGTGAGTCACCATGCCCAGCCCATTGTGACAATTTTTAAAAGCATAAATATCAATTCACATTTCATCATAAAAATATTGCTATTTTTGTGTTTTTCACAATAAAATTTCAAATTAGAGGGCAAGACCAGGGAAGTTCAAAAACATTTTTTCACCCTTTGGTATCTGGCACTTCTAAGAGTCAGGTCCAATCCTAAAATCATATACAACACTCAGTAAAGTACTTCACAGACCCAATGGCTTTATTAAACTCAGTAAATGACACCTGCAATTTTCTAAGTTCTTGACAACTATATGATCACTGAATCACAGTGGGTCATTGACTGTTACCAGTGATTAATTAAATAGTTCTGTTTTCTTAATTGGTGATAGTTTTTGAAGACCATTTTTATTGCAATGTATCAGACATTTTCTCTATTAGGATTATTGATGGATTTTCTTGAGCTTTTCTGAAGCTAATACAAAGGAACACATAAGGACCCATTTACTTAAAAGTAGAAATGGAAAAAATAAATCCCTCCCCAGAAAACATATGCATGAGGCTTTAGGAAAAAAAAAAAAAGGGGGTGTGCATGAGGCTTTAGGCAAAATTAGTCTTTACTGTGTTAACTGGTTTATTGGGTTTTTTGTTTTTTGTTTTAAGAGACGAGGTCTTGCTCTATTGCCCAGGCTGGAGTGTACTGGTGTGATCATAGCTCACCACAGCCCTGAGTTCCTGGACTCAAGTAATCCTCCTGTCTCAGCCTTCTGAGTAGGTGAGATTACAGGCATGTACCACCACGTTCAGCTAATTTTTTTTAATTTCTTGTAGAGATAAGGTCTCACTTTGTTGTCCAGGCTAGTCTTGAACTCCTGGCTTCAGGTGATTCTTCCACCCCAGCCTCTCAAAGTGCTGGGACTACAGGTGTAAATCACCACACCCTGCCCACTGTGCTAAATGATACTAATTTTAATGAGAAATGCATATTAGAAATGTGAAAAAGAAAAGCAACATTGTTACTTCTAAATAAAGCAGTAACAAAAATTATTTCCTCACACTACCCTAGAAGTAATGCCAATTTTCAATTCTAAAAGAGAATATAGCAGAAAGAGATTTTTTACAGTGTCTTAAGTCATAAGAAGACACTTTACCAACACGGATAATAAATTAACCAGCAATAGTTATAAGAAAAAAATCACATGAAAGAATAAACTAAATACACCAGTAATTTCACACTAGGTTGTCCTCCATTCCTGCTGTGGAAAAAAATGTAATATCCAAACACATTCTGTATTTTTTCAACTCAGGTAAAAATATAAACTTTCAATCAATTTGTTTTAAATTATCATTAAATATTTCCAGCAAATGATCACAAATACATAAATGCAGAAGCTACCTCCTACATGTGGAATGATACTCACTTATCTTTTCCTTATCCTAGCACTGATAAACTGGCTCCTTCTAACTGACAGTTTTCCAGACATTCAAAAGAACAAAAAGGAAAATGCAAATATATCATCTGTCTAGCATCTATCTGGGGAGTAGGCAATTGTTTATTTAAGGTCCCTGCGGGTCTAAATAACTAATGTCCCTTGCAATAAAGAATCATTAAAACAAATGCCAATTTTTAACCCCTAAACACTTTAGCACTGCATTTCTCTCTCTCTTTTCTGAACCAGTTAATTCAGCCTGGGATAGTCTACATGCCCAGTAAAAACTAATTAAACAAATCCTATTGAATGAATAAAAATAAGCCTATTGGCCTAAATCTTACACAAAGCAAAGATGGTTATGACTCAAATATTTCCCTAATATTAAAAAAGTACTAATTAATAATGTATATGGCTCTGATAAACAGATACTGTCTAATATTCTAGTAAGTGGTAGAATTACTAAATTTTGCAAAATAGCAAACACCAGGCATATAAATTAGTGAACAGTATACTTAGTTCCACTATTGAGCTAGTTTCAATTTTGATTTATTCATTTATGCTTTGCAATATAGAGAAACAGCATATTGGAAAAAGAATAATGATATTTTAACATACAAGAAGGGATATGGGTGAAAGTGGAAGGATCACTTGAAGCCAGGACTTCAAGGCTTGTCTGGGCAATAGAACAAGACTCTGTCTCTACAAAAATTTTAAAATTAGCCAGGAATGGTGACACACACCTGTAGTTCTGGCTACTTGGGAAGCTGAAGCAGGAGGATCACTCAAGCCCAGGAGTTCAAGGCTGCAGTTGAGCTATGATTGTGCCACTGCACTCCAGCCTGGGAAACAAAGACAGACCCTGTCTCAATTAAAAAAAAAAAAAAAGAAAGAAAGAAAGAAAGAAAAGAAAAAAGAAAGGATACTGTATTCTAGGTAATCAGATCTTTGCTGATGACTATAAAATTTCTAGATTTTGATATATTTACTAAAATCACTTTCGCTTTTCTTTGAAAACATGCATATACAAGGATATGCCTTATCCTCTGATGAATATCTTTTAATACTTATTAATTAGAAGATACAATTGTTGCTCTTAGACTAGTCCTTTTGGTTGATAAAATGCTGCATAAGCTAAGGTATACTATTCAAATTAAAATTTGAAATTTGAAATTTGTACACCAAAAAAGTTTTGTATGTTAATTACAGTCTTAATAATGTATACTATTTCAAAATGCAAACAAATTCTCAATTTTTATGGGTTATAAAATTTTTCAGTGATAATATTTTCATAGAAAAAGCTTGGACCTCATATAAAGCTGGCAAGTTTTAACTCTGTTTCTGTGATTATTATCTATCTAGTACTAGTTTCTCTTTAATTGTACCACATGTAAAATGTGTCTCATTTTGATATCAAAATTTCCAAATATCCACAAATGGGAATTTCCTTGAAGATATCATGTGAATATATAACAGAAAATATGAATGTCACAGAAGAAACTTCATATTTTCTATCAAGTAAATTTTTTGCCCAACTGTAGGATAATGTAAGTGTTCTGAGCACATTTAAGATAGGGTAGATTAAGCTATGTTGTTTGGTAAGTTAGGTGCATTAAATGCATTTTCAATTTTCAATATTTTCACCTTACAATGGTTTATCATGATGTAACCCCATCATAAGTCAAGGAGCATCTATATTCTAAGTCACAAATGCATTTAACAGAGCCTATTTTATAAGAAGGTATTGGATATATCACATAATTTACTAAATATTGTATTGAAAGTGAAAAATAGAATGGTCATACGGATACTTGAGGTACAGTTTTTACTGAATGTGTATTGCTTTCACACCATTATAAAGTCAAAAAATTGTTAAGATGGAACCATCTATATATTTATCTACTTATTTTAATGGCAGATAACTTAAATCGAGAGACCCACCAAAAAGAAAACAAAAATTTAACAGTTAAAAAAATACTGACAAGGGAAAGAGAACTATTTGGGAGGTTGGGGTAGTTTCCATGTGAAAATGAGTACTAACAAGTACAAGGGCAAGTATAGTAGGCAAAAGCATGTAAAGTGGGGCGGCAGAAGAGTAAGAAGCAGGACAACCAAAAACACTAGATTAGGTTAGATTTTTCTTATCAAGGCAGTAATGTTCATGGCATCAATTAACGGAATAAAATAGAAGCAATACACTGAAATAGAGAACCCATATGACAGTAACAAGAACACAGTGAAAGAGGAAAAAGAAGAGTCAGATGTGGAAACCAAAACAAATGGTAAACAGAAAGACCATCATCACAAGGAAGACTTGAAATAACTGAAAAAGCAATAACTGTTTTTTTAAAAATGGGGGGGGCTAAGGAGGGGAAAAAAGTTTAAAATTCTAGCTCAAGATGGAAAAAAAAATTGGTAACTATTTGAGAAACTCCATCACAAATTATACAAAATTTAAACAATAGAAAAATAAGATACATTATGAGCTGGATCAATGGTATAGGGTTTTGTAGATTTTGCCAATAAATGTAACAGTCTTCAAGATAGCAAATTGTTTTATAATTCTGCATACAGTTTTTCAAAGTGAATATTTTAAATTACAATGAATTTATTGGAAAAAATACAATGGTTTCAGAGAGAAATGTATAATACTGTTACATGTAAAATATTACCCATATGTCTCAGCTGTTTCTTATCTCTTCTGAAAACTCCAAGACTTAAATTTTAAAGAATAGACTTAAAAGCAATCAAAGGGTCCTATTTCCTCTGTTCCTAAACTGAAACTAGAGGGCAGTATAAGAAAATATTTTACTCAATGTACTTTGAATTTCTGAAACTACATTTGATTTTGGATGTTAATGAAAAATTTACTATACCTGAATTTAAAAGACGGCAGGTAAATCATTTCATAGATATTAATAACTATTGCATTTTTCACAAAAGGGACTACTCTAGAAAAACCACAGTTGATTCTTTTTTTTTAAAGGACTTTGGATGGGGGTGGAGAAGCGGAAATGTGCATACCCAGCTCCAAATGAATTACCAAATTATTTCTTCTCCAAAGGAAAAAAAAAAAAGAGGCATCAGAGTATAATGGAACAATAAAGATGAAAAATTTGCTAGAGTTTCATGCCCATTTTCCTTTGTAATTCTCACTGGGCCAGGGGAAACCAGCGAGGGAGAGAATGACAGGGTATTTGAGAATTCTCTGTACTTCAAACTCAATTTTCCTGTAAACTTAAAACTGATCTAAAAAATAAAGTCTATTAATTTTTGGAAAAAATTATAAAATAAAAAGCAAGGCAGACAAAACTCTGCTACCATCGCAGCTTTTGGTTTCAAACTAGAAAAAAAATTCTAATCACTATTTTTCCTAAGAATAAAAATAATACAAGACTATTAATTAAATGTTAGAAATGCCACCTAAAGTAAATTTCGAAAATCAAAATTGCCAGTAGCCCAACTTCATGGAGATCCAAATGACTTCATAATACACTTTCTTGCTTTTACCATGTAAAGAAGGTAGATAAGTCACTTGGTTGTAATTATACAGTACGTAAAGAATTGCATATAACTTTCTTTTACTTAACCTACTGGAACATTTTCTCTATTCACTAAATACTATAAAATTTGTAAAAAAATTAAATACATTTAAAACTTCTTATAAAATGTATTTTTGTTAACACAAGCACAATAACAAATAAAAGAGAAGACAAAAGAAATAAACATAGTATTTGTTTCTAGGATACATGATTACATAGTACACATCAAGGAAAAAAATTCCCAGCTACTGGCCAGTAGCAATATCAAGTTTGGAACAAAACTCTCCAAGATATGCTAATTTGCCAAATAAAGGTGGAACAGCAGAATAGAAGGCAAACCCTGGCCTGAGATATCCCAAAAGAAGTAACGGCATTATTTCTGATCTCAATATAATCCACCAGGCCATTCCTTCAAAATTCCTTTATTTTCCGTCAATCTCAACCTAGAATCATAAGATGAGTGTTTTGGTAGGTACAATATCTTGTTATTAACTTTAAGAAACAGCAAAATATCCAGAAGAAAACCACTGATACAGTAACATCCCTTTTGTTATACTTGGTCATTTTAATACTGCACATTCTTCACATTATTCAAGTTTACCCAGTATCACCATTAAGCTTCCCATCAATGTATAGGATCTTGCATCCATATATATGCTTTTATACATGGAAATAATTTTTTATCCATATATATGCTTTTAAACATGGAAAGAATGTAGAAGGAGAGATGGACAAAAATAAAAGTGCTATAGGAGGAAATGAACCAGTATGACCATTGTTAGAATGATGCTACACTTCAGAGCAGCATTCCTTTCCAAGCCTCTAATTCAAAAAAATATGCCAAAAAAAACAAAGTATTGGACACTATATAAATATTTTTTTTTTGTACAGTCCAAAATATTTGACAACCAGTAACCACATTAAAAGATTACATGTCAACAAGACTTTCTTATTTAGGCCACTATCTATATACATCTTCTTAAGTGCAGGGAAAGAAAATAAAGGAAAAAAATATTTTTATGAATCTATCATTCATCCATGCACTCATCTACCCAACTAGCAGCATCTAATCTACCACACACTACTAGGTTTGAGTGGAGAAAATAGTGAAATCCTTGACTTAATTTCTTTTAATTTTACTCAAATTTATTCAGAAAAGTAGTAAACAATCAACAGTATAAAAGTACAATGGTTTCTAATGTGCCCCCAAATTTTAAGTTAATCAAAAATCTTAAGCGTTGCTAAAATGAGATCTAAAAACATTTTTGTTGAAATCACTGATAACTAACTCACCTGGTGATTCTCCTCCCATATCTGAGGCTTGGGCTGAATCTACTGAGGAAACCACACTGACAGCATTGGTAGGTATGCTTGTATTAAAGGTGGAAGGTGAGACTGCTGACTTTTTTGCTGCAACAATGACACTTCTGTAATAAAGAAAGTAAACAGACTGAAAGATACAAATTGATCTCTTGAATTAATTACATGAATTTCAAAACAGAAACTAGGTAGCTAACTTATTTTTCTAATTTTCTTTCTTATTTCTATTTGATGTACAATTTAGACTTTTCACCCAACATGAAATATCTTCAATACTGTCCATATTTATCTGCATTTCACTATGAAAATATAATAATCTATTTAACATTTAAGCTTATATTTACCACATAGTATTTTTAAAATTTAGGATCATCTTAATTATCTAACAAATAAAATATAACCAAAAGTATTAAAGCAGAAAATTCAACGTTTCCACAAGAATTGTAAAGCACTGCTAATCTGAAATAATAAAACCTTAGAAATCTTATAAGCTTAAAAAAAAAAAGCAGATATAAGCAATTTGCTAACATGTATACAACCCAGTTTTTCATTTTTAAACCCCAAAGACTATATCTTTTGATAATATATAAAAAAGCAATGCATAGGAATAAAAACCATACGCAAAAATATCAAATAGTCAAAGTTCTTTATCTTGTATATTATTCAAACACAGGTATTTATGATATACCAATTTCAATTAAAATGTAATACTTTATACCAAACAGTAAGTAAAAGACCTTGTTAGGCATAACTTAAAAGGCATTTTTAATTGAAGTTGGCTCCATAAACATGCAAAAACTCAGTTAATGAGGTAAAGAGGACAGCTGATATATAATGCACTCCCACAGCAGTGCTTACTTTTAATTACCTGGTGTTAACCATAAGCCCAAAGTCTTCAACATTCAATTTATTTAATCACATCTTTTGTTGACAGTACTATAACTGCGAGCTTCAAGTATTCCCTTAATAGCTTTAAAGTATTCAGCTTCTAAACAAAGTAACTTAGGTATTTGATCCCTATACATGCATTCAAAAGTGAAAATTATGTAATTCCAATATTTTAATAATACATTTTTGTAGTTATTTTTAAAAACACACACACAAAGCAAAATAGGTTTCGTTTTACCTCAGTGCCTATCATGTGAGGGCAAACACTGTTGCCAATTAAATCAAGGTCTCTTGTGCTAGGCATGGCTTATTCAATGTACTTCAGGGTAGCTGGTGTCACATCATTATAAGGGTGACTGCCAATGTTAACTATACACTAAAAAATAGAAGCAACAGCCACCTGAGCCCCCAATCCAAAATGGTGTGCTTAAATCACAGCAGCTTATATCAGATGAAGATTATTGACTTAAGGGGGAGTAGATATGACGAATGTCTGTGTGTGTGTGTGTGTGTGTGTGTGTGTGTGCGTGCACGAATGTGTGTGTGTACGTATGTATTAGTGGTACCTTCAAAAACAACGCAAAATGTAATTTTTGTATTTCCTACTGGAGGGAGAAATTTAAAACCCATTGCTTAAGAAAATCACTGTCTTCTACCAATGTTTTTGCAGGGGAGGGAGGAGAAATATGAAGAATTTACTTTCACATTTGTTCACAAAAGAAAGAACCAGCAAGATCTAGTTTACTCATACTGTAAGTAGGGACTGAATTGAGCAATAGAAAAGAATACTTAGAAAAGTGCAATTGCTTTTTCTATAATCAAAATGTAAGATATATACCCATCTATGCTATGACTCAACAATTCCACTTCTAGGAATTTCCTCAAGAAAGCTTATGTCCACAAAACATGTATACAGTAATGGTCATACAGGCTTTATTTATAATAGTCAAAAACTGGAAATAGCCCAAATGTCCTTTATGCAGATATAGTAAATTTTTAATGGTGCTATGCTTCTAGAATGGAATATTATTCAGCAATAAAAGGTAACAAACTACTGATGAATGAAATGAAAAGGTAACAAACAACATGGATGAATCTCAAAAGCATTATGTTGAATGAAGTCTTATACTAAGGAGTATATACTTTATGGGTTTTTTTTTTTTAACATGCATGTCTAGAACAGACAAAACTAATTTATGGTAGAAAAAAATCAGAATAATTGCCTCTGGGGGATAGGAACAGGAATTGGCTGGGAAAGAGAACTTTCAAGACCAATGATATCATGATGGGGACTTAAGGTTACACAAGTGTATAAATTTGTCAAAACTCATCAAATGGTACACTTAAGACCTGTGTCTTTCATTGTATGTAAATTTTAGCTCAAAAAAAAAAACTGTATTCATCTCCAGTTAGAGAGCTGCATGCTGGCTGAAATATTTAAGAGTGAAGTGAACTGATGTCTACAACTTTGAAGTACATTACAAAAATAAGATTGATTGATGGATACATGGTGAAGCAAACAGAGCTAAAAGCTAATTGTTGAATCTCAGTGATGGGTCTACAGGTGTTCACTGTGCAATTCTTTCAACTTTTCTGTATGCCTGAACATTTTCATAATAAAACACTGGAAAACTGGTAACAGAACAGAATTTACTACAGCTGTTCCAAATATGCACAATCCCTATTTATTCAAGATGACATAGCTAATTAAACACAACAAAAGAACTCAACTTCATTTCTAATCCTCTAGCCTCTTGCTGTTAATGTTTCAGTCACAAATAAGATCTTATTCTTTTATTCAGTTCAGTAAATATTTATTGTCCAAGATCTTTCACCTATTGTCAGGAATGATAGATCAGAAGTACGGCTTTCTACATGAATTTACATTTTACATGTTCCTCACACACTTCTTCAACATGCTCTTATGGTTGCTAAGCGTGTTGTGTCATTTCACAACTCCAACCCTTCGTATATATGCCTCCTCTGCCAAGATGCTTTCTTCTTAATCCTGCTTGCTTGTTAGGTAATATAAAATTATAAATTCTAATAGCAGCTAAGATAAATGCACTGACAATATGCCAACAATTATTATTCAATTCTCAAAACAATCCTAAGGTACATATTAATTCAATTTTTAGAAATTTTAAATAAAAACCTCAGAAAGGTAAAGTAATAACCAAAGTAAATGGTAGAACTACCATGGAAATCTAGGTTTATCTAACAGCAGAGCCTTGAATTTGAACCGTTTCCCCATGTTGACCTTTCTTAAAACTTCAGAGATATAATTCACATACCATTTAATTCACTAAAAATATACAGTTAAGAGATTTTTGGTATGCTCACAAAGTTGTATATTTATCACCACAATCATATTAACATTTAAACATAATTTTAGAATCATCTATAATCAACAGCAATAAAGATCTCTAACATATAAAATTATTTATATACTACCATAAAATCACAAAAATACATCTGCTCATAAATTTTTAAAAGCTGAATTATTTCATATAGCTACATAATTAGTATATAATAGAGAAATAAAATCAATTTCCAAATTCGCTGACTGATTCAAATCAATTCTAAGGAATTAACATAACATTGCTTCAGCTTAAGGCTACACAAAATCAAAGAAAAATCAAAGTTACAATGATCCAATTAAAAGGACACTAAGCAGTAGGTAGATTTTGAAATATTTTCATTGTCTTTACCAATCATTGTCATTATTACTATAAAGTTTCAGTGTAAAAGACTAAAATCTTCAACAGAGATCTTTAACCTATCGTGTTTATGTTGTTAAATATAAGTATAAATCTAAATTAGTAAAGCATGTTCCACAGTTAACAAAAATAATCTAGAATTTTAAACTTACCAATAGTTAAGATTGATCATGCAAAAACTAAGCATTTAATATTACCTTTTTATACAATGCATTGGAAAACACAGAGGAAAATGCAATATGCATTTGACAAAACTGAGACTTTACATGACAGACAATGTGCTAGGGATATTTCTGGCATCTTTCTCAGGCTACAGCTTAAGTTTCTATTTAAGAAACAAATTGAAATCTTTTTTAATGTTTAAGAACAATTATTGGAACTTTTTATATCTACATCAATTTTAGCAGAAAGTGCTTCAAACTTTTTAGCATAAGGAATCTGAAAGATAGACAACCAATTATGCAAGCTGGTTTCCCAAATTGTCAATTATAAACCAAATATTAAAAGAGATAAAAATTGTTCTTATTATCATTTTTTTCTTTATGAACTCACTATGAATACTTAATATTTGTGGGGCACCGTGCTTAAGAACATACACAAATTATCATATTTAATTTATGACAACCCTTGAGATTAGTAGTACATATTATTATGCTAATTTTACAAATGAGAAAGAAGTAATTTTCCTAAAGTACCACACAGAACAAATGAAAATACTGTTGCTGGATTTTTTTTTTCCCCTGAACAAGGGATACTCATTTCAAAGTTTCTTTTAATTTACTGGCAATAGGCAAATAGCAACAATGCCTTCCCGATCAATAAAGTTGAGAACTTCCATTTCAGTATTATATCAGTTTCAAATATCACAAACCCTCACACAAATGCTATTTTACTTAACATGCAAATAGTTCACTAAAGGAAAAAAGAGCATTTCAGCCTACCACTTCAGTCCCTAAGGATCCAGTTGAAAAGCCAAACCAGTCCTTGAACTTTATCAAGATAAATCCCTGGCATTCACTAATCATCAGAGAGGATCTTCAAATTAGATAAGAACAAGAATTTTGGCATGGGAATGAACACAAACACCTTTGCATTCACAAAGGCCCACAACCTGGCAGCCTTTCAGCAAGGTTTTATTCATGTAGCTGTTACTCTAAACTTTCCAGCTATTCCTTGGAAGTTGATAATACTTAAGATATGAGGAGAGTTGTGATTTCTGACATAGCATTCCTGAGATAAATACATGATCAGAGGGATGCTTTGAAATTCCCAAAGATATTCCACTAGCCCAAGGCAGCATGAAAGTTTTTACAAAGGGGTCTCTAAATAAGAAAAAAAAAGAGGGTAAAAAACAGAGCAGTTTCCTTGCCATCAGAGACTGTTAAATGAATACTAGACATGTTAAATTCTACAGAACATCCTGGAAAATGCTACCATCAAAATTATCTGTTGTTTTCTATTTCAATAAACCCCTTAAAATGTATTACACCTAAGCATGATTTCCTAAATATGTTCATGATCTACTCACTGAAGACATCAGTAAGGCACAAATTTAATTTCTACACTATTTTAAAAAGAAATAAATGCTAAAATACATAAAATTTTGATCATTAGTAAACAATGTAACTATATTAACATATATTAAATTTAAAAGTATAGCCTCACATATTTCTGGGTACTCAATCTAACACTAACAAATCTAAATAAATTATAAAAATTGAGAATAGACAGGGCACAGTGGCTCACGCCTGGAATCCCAATGCTTTGGGAGGACAATGCAGCAGGATCGCTTGAGGTCAGGAGTTCAGCACCAGCCTGGGCAACAGAGCAACACCTCATCTCTACAAAAAATTTTTTAAATAGCTGGACATGTTGGTCCCAGCTACTCAGGGGACTGAGGAAGAACGATCCCTTGATCCCATGAGTTTGAGGCTGCAGTGAGCTATGACTGCCACTGCACTCCAGCCTGGGTGGCAGAGCAAGACACCGTCTCAAAAATAAAATAAATAAATAAAAATTGAAGCCAGGCGCAGTGGCTGATGCCTGTAATCTCAACACTTTGGATCACTTGAGGCCAGGAGTTTGAGACCAGCCTGGCCAACATGGTGAAACCTCATCTCTACTAAAAATACAAAGACTAGCTGGGCATGGTGGCACACATCAGTAATCACAGCTTAAACCGGTAAGCACAGTGTTATAAACACAAACTAGTTCTATTTTTAGTTGCCTCGGGAACCTCCAAACTGTTTCCCATAGTGGTTGTAGTAATTACACTCCCACCAACAGTATATGAAGGTTCCCTTATCTCCACATCCTTGCCAACATTTGTTACTGCTTATCTTTTGGATATAAGCGATTTTAACTGGAGTGAGATGATATCTCATTGTTTTGATTTGCATTTTTCTGATCAATGATGTTGAGCATCTTGTCATAAAATCATTTGACATTTCTATGTCTTCTTTGAGAAATGTCTATTGAGATCTTTAGCCCATTTTAAGGTTATCATTTCGTTTAAAATGTAGTAATATTTTTAAATTATTATTAATACATTTCTTCCTATAGAGTTGGTTGAGTCCCTTATATATTCTGATTATTAGAACCCTTGTCAGTTAACCAGAATTATAAGTTTATTATATAATCCCCAGTCTGTGGGTTGTCTCTTCAATTTGTTGATTGTTTTCTCTGCTATGCATAAGTTCTGTAGCTTGATGTGATCTCATCTGTCCATGTTTGCTTTGACTGCCTGTGCTTTTGGGGTATTACTCGAGAAATCTCCCCAGATTAATGTCCTGGAGAGTTTTTCCAATGATTTTTTTTCAGTAGTTTCATAGTTTCAGGTCATAGATTTAAGTCTTTAATCCATTTTGAACTGATTTTTGTATATAGTAAGAGATAAAGGTATTCATTCTTCTGCATATGGATATACACTTTACTCAGTACCACTGAGAAGACTGTCCTTTCCCCATTGCATGTTCTTGGCACCTTTGTCAAAAATGAGTTCACTTGTAGACGTGTGGATTTATTTGAGTTCTCTATTCTATTCCATTGGTCTATGTATCTGTTTTTATGACAGTATCATGCTGTTTTGGTTACCATAGCTCTGTAGTATAATTTGAAGTTTTGTTCTCTTTGCTCAGGATAGCTTTGGCTATTCTGAGTCTCTGTGGTTCCATATAGTTTCTAGGAATATTTTTTCTATTTCTGTGAAGAATGTCACTGGTATTTTGATATGGATTGCACTGAATCTGTAGATTGCTTTGGGTAGCATGAACATTTTAACACTATTAATTCTTCCAATCCATGAATATGAAATATCTTTCATTTTGGGGGTCCTTTTTAGTTTTTGCATCAATGTTTTATAGTTGTCACTGAGGGATCTTTCACTTCTTTGGCTGTTTATTCCTAGGTATTTTACTTATAGCTATTGTAAATTGGATTACTTTCTTGATCTCTTTTTCAGATTGTTCACTGTTAGCATATAGAAATGATACTAATTTTTGTATGCTAATTTTTGTCATGCAACTGTACTGAATTTATCAGTTATAATAGTTTTTTATGGACTCTTTAGGTTTTTCTAAATACTCTAAATACAAGATCATATCATCTGCAAACAACTGACATCTTCCTTTCCAATTTAAATGCCATTTCTTTCTCTTGTCTGATTGCTTTACCTAGGACCTCCAGTACTGTGTTGAGTAACAGTAATGAAAGTGGGCATCGTTGTCTCATTCCAGATTTTAGAGAAAAGGCTTTCAGTTTTTCTCTGTTCCATATGATACTAGCTGTGGATCTGTTCTTTATGGCTTTTTATTGTGTTATGTTCCCTCTATATGCAGTTTTTTAAGGGTTTTTATCATGAAGGAATAGTGAATTTTATCAAATGCTTTTCAGCAGCAATTGAAATGATCATATGGCTTTTGTCTTCCATCCTGTTGATATGATGTATCACACTGATAGTTTGTGTATGCTCAGACATTCTTGCATCCCCAGAATAAATCCCACTCATTATGCATCAATTTTTAAAAAGTTTCTTTGAGACAAGTTCTCCCTCTGTCACCCAGGCTGGAGTGCAGTGGCATGAACACAGCTCACTGTAGTGTCAAACTCCTGGGCTCCAGTGATCCTCCCGCCTCAGCCTCCTGAGTAGCTGAGACTACAGGCACACATCACCATGCCCAGCTAATCTTTTTGTTTTAAAATCTCACCGTGTTGCCCAGGCTAGTCTCAAATTCCTGGACTCAAGCAATCCTCCCACCTCAGCCCACAAAATGCTGGAATTGCAGGTGTGAGTCACTGCACCCAGACAAAAAAAAAAAATTCATAAAATGAAAAATCTCAGAAGACACAAAAATAAGTTAAAATATATCAAAACTTACAAACACAAACACTTAGAAATAGTACATGGTACCATCTACAGTTAAAAGAAATGTAAACAATGTAAATTTCAATTATTAAAGCATAACTGTATAAAATTAACATTAATGCATACTGTACTACTGTAATAATTTCATAGCTACTTCCTGCCACAATTGCATTGAGCATTGGTATTGTTAGCATCACTTAAAATGCTGTGTGACACTAGTCATCTCAGAGCACGCAGTTCATCTCTTTTTATGGGGCAGGGGGGGAAGGAGTTTTGCTCTTGTTGCCCAGGCTGGAGTGCAATGCTGCAGTTTTGGCTCACTGCAACCTCCACCTCCCAGGTTCAAGCGATTCTCCTGCCTCTGCCTCCCAAATAGCTGGGATTACAGGCACCCGCCACCACGCGTAGATAATTTTTTTGTATTTTTAGTAGAGGTGGGGTTTCACCATGTTGGCCGGGCTGGTCTTGAACTGCTGATCTCAAATGATCCACCCGCCTCAGCCTCCCAAAGTACTGGGAAGTTTGTCTCTCCAGTAAACTGTGTATCACGGTAAAAGTGCTCTCTCCCAGTTCTCATATATTTTTCATCATGTTTACTGCAATATTATAAACCTTTGATAACATAATGGGACCCATACAAAGTGCCACTAGCAATACTGGACATGCTCCCAAGCAGCAGGGAAAAGTCATGACATTATAAGAAAAAGTTGAATTGCTTGATATGTACTGTAGATTGAGGTCTGTAGCTATGGTTGCCTGCCATTTCCAAAGAAATTAATCCCGCATAAGAACTATTGTAAAGAAAAGGAAGTTGGCAAAGTTGTCACTGCAGTGACACCAGGAGGCAAAAAAACAAACAAACAAAAAAACAAAACAAAAAAAACTTGCACTTTTTGTGAAATATCTTTATCTTGCACTGAAAATGCAGCTTTTATGTGGGTACAGGATTGTTATAAGAAAGGCATACCTATAGACTCTAACATGATTTGAGAAAAACTGAAGTCATTATATGTCAAATTTAAGTAAAAAAGAATCTAAGGCTAGATTTAATGCCAGCAAAGGATGATCAAGATAACAGGAGAAGCAGCTTCTGCCAACCAAGAGGCAACAGATGAGTTCCTAGACATCAAGAAAATCATTTAGAAGAAAGGACCAGCCCAGTCAGGTTTTTAATGCAGACAAACGTAACCTATTTGGGATGGGGGGGAAGCCACAAAGGATATTTATTAGCAAGGAAGAGAAGTGAGCACTAGGATTTATGGCAGGAAGAGATAGGCTAACTCTACTGTTTTGTGCAAATGCAGTTGGGTTTATGATCATGACTGCCCTTATCTATTAATATAAAGCTGCTAACCCCTGAGCCTTGAAAGGAAAACACAAACACCAGCTGCAAGTCTGTTGGTTGTACAAGAAGGCCTGGACAAAAAGAATCCTTTTTCTGGATTGGTTCTATTGATACTTTGTCCCTAAAGTCAGGAAGTACCTTATCAGTAAGAGATTAACTTTTAAAGTTCTTTTACAATTGGACAATGCTCCTGACCACCCAGAGCTTCATGAGTTCAACACTGAGGGTGTTGAAGTGGTCTAACTGCCCTCAAACGCAACTTCTCTAATTCAGCCTCTAGAACAGGAGGTCACAAGGACCTTTATGGTTCATTACACATGGCATTCTTAGGAAACAACTGTCAACACTATGGAAGAGAACCCAACAGAACATCGTGAAAGTCTAGAAGGATTATACCACTGAGGATCACTGTTACAGAAAAAGCTGTGGAAACCATCAAGTTTGAAACAATAAATTCCTCCTAGAGAAGACTGTGTTTCTAGGTGTTGTGCATGACTCCACAGGATTTCTGACAGAACTAATCAAGGAAATCATGAGAGACTATAGATATGACAAAAAGGTGAGGGGTGAAGGGTTTCAAGATATGAATCTCAGAGAAATTCAAGAACTAACAGATACCACAAGAACAGAAGGATCAACAGAGGGAAAACAATTTGACGGAGACAAGAACATCCAAACCACTATTAGATGAGGAAGACATAGAAGAAGCAGTACCAGAAAATGAACTGACATTAGACAATCTGGCAGAAGGGTTCTAATGATTCAAGACTGCTTTTAACTTCTTTTATGACATTCACCCTTCTATGATACAGGCACTGAAACTAAAGCAAATGGTGAAAGAAGGGTTTGTACCACATAGAAACATTTTTAGACAAATAAAAAAGCAAAAAGGTCAGAAAGAAATTCCAGTGCATTTCTGTAAATTTACACCAAGTGTGTCTGCCTCTCCTGCTTCCCCTTTCACTTTCTCCAACTCTGCTACCTCAACTGCCCCTGAGATACTAAAATCAACCTCTTCTCTTCCTCCTCCTCAGCATACTCAACATGAAGACAAGAAAGATGAAGATCTTTATGATGATTCGCTTCACCTGATGAACAGTAATATATTTTTTTCTTCCTTATGATTTCTTTTTTTTTCTTTTTTTTTTTTTAGACAGAGTTTCGCTCTTCTTGCCCAGGCTGGAGTGCAATGGTGCGATCTCAGCTCATTGCAACCACTGCCCCTCCTGGGTTCAAGCGATTCTCCTGCCTCAGCCTCTGGAGTAGCCTGGATTACAGGCACACCCCACCATGCCCAGCTAATTTTTGTATTTTTAGTAGAGACTGGGTTTCACCATGTTGGTCAGGCTGGTCTCGAACTCCTGACCTCAGGTGATCCACACACTTCAACCTCCCAAAATGCTGGGATTACAGATGTGAGCCACTGCACCTGGCCTTCCTTATGATTTTCTTAATAACATGTTCTTTTTTTCTAGCTTACCTTACTGTAAGATTACAGTATATAATACATATAACAATCAAAATATGTGTGAATCAACTGTTTATGTTATCAGTAAAGTTTCTGATCAACATAAGCTATTGGTAGTTAAGTTCTGAGGGAGTGAAAAGTTATATGTGGATTTTCGGCTACACAGGGCGTCATCATCCCTAACCCCCATGTTGTTCAAGGGTCAGATGTAGAAACATACCAAAACGAAAAACTATTATCAGTACCTGTCAAAAGATCTGAACTGCACGGGTTGTTCCACAGATAGATCACCAAGGGCTCCAAGGCAGGCTGGTGGCAGAAGGGCAGGATCCACTGTGACTCCATCTGCTGGTATGTTAACCAAGCTTCGGAGAATGTCTTTCACATTGACGTTTTTTGAAACTGAAACTGACGGTGTAGCCTTAGTGTCCAAGTCATTTCCTCTATCATTTTTGGTTTCCGGAGACTTATTGACTTCTAAAGAAAGAGTAGATAGCACCTCGCTGATTGCATCTGGGCCTGCACTGACACCAGGAGGTGCTGTGTGAGGAGTTACTTCCACATGGCTTCCTAAACCAGTGGCTGTTTCTTCCCCAATGCCTGAGTCCCTCCTTCGAGCAGATGATGTGCTTTCAGATTCTTCCACTGATGCCGTAGTTAAAGTGCTGAATGCTGCTGGTGTGATTTCTATATCATACCCAGAAACACAAGAAATAAACAAACAAAAGTTTAGAACTAATTTTTAAAAGGTATATTCTGTTTTAATAGCTATCTACTGTTTTGAATTATGAAATACATCATGTTCTAAAAAAGCAAAAACTAATTACGTATTCTACAGAATGTACTGAGTGGGTGCACCTATTATCAAGACAGATGGTATAATAAAATAAATAATAAAATACTTGCAAAAATGATCTAAAGTAATGGGTAGCAACACAAGGTTGAAAGTCATTGGCCTGTAAGAAAAAGTCTATAATCTTTTTTGGGGGTGTGTGTGTGTGTGTGTGTGTGTGTGTGTGTGTGTGTGTGTCAGTCTGTTGCCCAGGCTGAAGTGCAGTGGTGTGACCTAGGCTCACTGCAGCCTTGACCTCCTGGGCTCAGGCGATCCTCCCACCTAAGCCTCTCAAGTAGCTGAGACTACAGGTATGTGCTACCACGTCTGGCTAATTTTTCTATTTTTTTGTAGAGATGAGGTTTCACCATGTTGCCCAGGCTGGTCTCAAACTCCTGAGCTCAAGCAATCTACCTGCCTCGGCCTCCCAAAGTGCTAGGATTATAGGCATGCACCACCATGCCTGGCCCAAGTCCGCAATCTTTAGGATAAAATAAAAAGCTCTACCTCAAACATGGTTACTGCAGCTGGAAAACTTGTTACCCCTTCTACGTGCATAAATAATTCAATGATCCTTAAAATCCAGTTCAACAAGGAACACCTCCTTTTCTCTCTTTTAATTCTCACTCCCTTTAATCAGGGTTTCAACCCATTCTAGCAAAAATAGTCTTATCAAGGTCACCAAAAAATCTGCATCTTGCTAACTCCAATGGTCAGTGTTCAGTCCTAATAGGACTTCACATAACAGCAACAGCTGATTATTCCCTCCAACTAGACAATGCTTCCTTTCCTCGGCTTTCAGGACACCATTCTCTTTTTGTTTTCCTTGTACTACTTCACTGACTGTTCCTTCTTAACATCCTTCACCTCTTTTTCTCCCTGATTTCTTAAGTTGGAGGGACACAAGGTTCAGTCCTTGTTCCTCTTATGTTCTCTGTCTGCATTTAGTCCCTTCGTGGTATCATTCATTCTCCAAGTTTTAAATACCACTATATTTCCCCACCAAAAAACTCAAACTATTAAATATAACTGCTACCCTACAACTTATCTTACATGTCTAAAAAAACCTCTCAAACTCAACATGCTGAAAACTGAATTTCTTCTCTTTTTATCTTTCCCTGAAAATCTCTTTCACCTTTAATCTACTCCACTGTACCTTGTAATCATTTTTGACTACCTTTTTCATTCACAAAATGCACACCTAATGTTTTAAAATTCTGTTTTTTCTACCACTAAAACATATTCAGAATCTGACTGCCTCTCACCATCTCTAGTTACCAACCTAATCCAACCCACCATAACCTCTTGCCTGGATTACTGATTACTGCAATATCCTCCTTCCTAACTGTTGTGGAAGAGGGTTGTTTTAATAATCCTACTGCCCCATGTCTCCTGGTATGCATCCCTTGACAAGCCCTTGAATCTGGACTAGGCTTGACTGACAATAACCCACAGGATCTGGCAAAAGCAGCAGTGGGCCAGTATTTGGCCCACGTTTTAAGGTCTGGCAGCTCTTGCATTCCCAGAATCTCTGAACATCTCTGTAAGAAGTGTGGCTTATTTCTGATCTACCTTGCTGGAAAGAACATGTAGAGAGACGATATGGAGACAGAGATGCTCTCCAAACTAATGAAGGAAACCAGGAACTCAGTTGAGAACAAGTATCAAGGCTGCAGACACACAACCCCAGCTCAGCTGTTTTAGTCAGTCAGTCTCAGCTCTTGGAGCCATCCCACCTGAGGCACTATATATACTATTAGAAAAGTCATCTTAGATTTTCCAGACCCAGCAAACATCATCTGAAACAGGGATAAACCATGCCCACCGTGCCCTATCCAAATCTAACTCAAGAAATCATGAAGGAAAGATTAAAATGGTTATGGTCTTAGGACACTAAGTGCAGGGTAAGGTATTAAACAGCAGTACCCAGCCAAAAACACTGATTATCCTTGCCCTCTACGCTATATCCTCTACACAGAATACAGAGTTACTTTTTTTTTTTTTTTTTTTTTTGGAAACGGAGTCTCACTCTGTCACCCAGGCTGGAGTTGTTGTGGTGGGATCTCTGCTCACTGCAACCTCTGCCTCCCAAGTTCAAGCGATTCTCCTGCCTCAGCTTCCTAAGTAGCTGGGATTACAGGCACCCACCACCATGCCTGGCTAATTTTTTGTATTTTTAGTAGAGATAGGGTTTTACCATGTTGGCCAGGATGGTCTCCAACTCCTGACCTCAAGTGATCCAGCTGCCTCGGCTTCCCAAAGTGCTGGGATTACTGGCGTGAACTACCAAGCCCAGCCCAGAGGTACTTTTTAAAACATAAATTGTAACTCCTGTACTCAAGACCCTCCAATGAGTTCTCATTTCCCTCAAAGAGAAATCCATACCCAATTACTCCTGGTCATTCCTGATATTTTTACCATCTTTATTACTTTCTTTTTTTTTTTTTTTAGCACTTTCACCACCTTCTAAAATACTACACAATCTACTTATAGCATGTAGATATTTTCTATCTCCTCCCATTAGAATATAAGCTCCATAAGGAAACAGATTTTTTGTTTTGTTTTAGTCATGAATATATACCCAAGTATCCAGTAGATATTGAATGAATATCGAGTGAATAATAAATTGCCTCCTTTGGGTGGTAGCTACTTCTATAATTGCAACAGCTACTTAACTAACTATACTTTTATAACTGGAAGCTACTTTTAATACTCCAATTATTGCAGTTACTTGTTAACAAGTCTGTCTCTTAGAATATGAGTTAGTGATTCTTCACAGCAAATGAAGTCAATAAAATTTTTCAACTCTTTTTGTATAACATTTTCTGACTTACATTTAATTAGTTCATTTAAAGAACAAAAAATATCCCAATTGCAATTAATTACATTATATTTAAGCCACAACTTTTAGTTAATAATAAAAATATATGTATGCTCTCCCTTAATTTGCACAGAAATGGATTTAAATTCCAATATCAATATTTTAACCATCAAAAGTAAGTAACATTTATTTGAACTTTGGTACAAAGGAATAGAAAATGCAAACTTACCAGAGAGTGATACATTCTCATTTTCACTGCCAGTTTCTGTACATGACTGGCTATGCCTTTCATTTTGGGGTTCCAAAATGTCTCTGTACTTGGAGACCATAAGAACAGAGATAAAGTATACTACTGCCAAGGCTAAAAATTGAGCTTGTTTGCTATCCTCCTGGGAAAAAAAATTAAAGGAGTTGATTATGTAACCATAAAATAACATCATTATATTTTACATCACAATGTTTAAATACAAAACATGTTCACAAATCTTTCAATATACACAGAAAATACATTACCTACGTAAATAATAAATTTATTAATAAACTTACTTGAGCAAACATTAGGCAAAGACTCTTAGAAAAATGTCTTTAAATGAGAAGCTTTATACTTGCAAAACATGGAAAGAGAGAAGTTAGCTCATTTTTTTAAATTATTCAATCTAAAGACGTATGTCCTAATATACATTATAATGTTAATCAAACAAACAGTAATTATAATTATATGAAAACAGGTCAGATGCAGTGGCTCACACCTGTAATCCCAGTACTTTGGGGGCCAAACCAGGCGGATCACTTGAGGTCAGGAATTTGAGACCAGCCTGGCCAACATAGTGAAACCCCATCTCTACTAAAAATACAAAAATTAGCCAGGTGTGGTGGCACATGCCTGTAATCCCAGCTACTCAGGAGCCTGAGGTGGGAGAATGGCTTGAACCCAGGAGGCAGAGGTTGCAGTGAGCTGAGATCGCATCACTGCACTCAAGCCTGGGCGACAGAGTGAGTGAGACTCTATCTCAATCAAGCAATCAATCAATAAATAAATAAACAATGATATGAGGATAACTGGTTATTTTTATCTGTAATCATAAAAACTAAAATACATAAAATATCACAATAAAAGTGCCAAAAAATAAACATGCAGAAGAAAAAAACTGAAGCTATTAGATACAGAATAGGATGCCAAAGGAATTCCTTCTTTTTTTTGAGACAGGGCCCCACTCCATTGCTCAGGCTGGAGTACAATGACACAATCATAGCTCACTGTACCCTTGAACTCCCATGCTCAAGAGATCTTCCTGCCTCAGCCTCACAAGTAGCTAGGACTACAAGAATACACCACCACATCCAGCTAATTTTTGTTTTTTAATTTCTTGAAGAGACAGGGTCTTGTTATGTAGCTCAGGCTGGTCTCGAACTCTTGGCCTCGAGCAATCCTCCTGCCTTAGCCTCCCAAAGCACTGGGATTATAGGTGTGAGCTCCCACACCTGACCACAAAGGAATTCTTGAGAGTATTTAAAATAGTACAAACAATTATATATCAAGATTTAAAAAAAAAGGATCTATGAGAAAGAAGACAAACTAGACTGACCTCTTGAAGGGCCTAGGCTCCATTCTAGCTCTACAGGTCACCTATATATCACTGACCTCTTTATCTTGTCAAATTCCCCATCTTCAAGGAGAACCTACACACACCACTATTCTACTAACTTTCCCAAATATGTTTGAACTTGTTAATTTAAAGAAAAAACTCAAATTTATCTATCAAATTCTGAAAACCAAAGGCTCAAGCAGAAGGTAAATTTAAAATAAGAACATGAAGAACACTGTTCCCTATCAGATAAATCCAGGCATACCATGGAGATACCACAGGTTTAGTTCCGGACCACTGCAATAAAGTGGCTATCACAATAAAGTGAGTCACACAAATATTTTAGTTTCCGAGTGTATATAAAAGTTACGTTTACACTATACTGTAATCTATTAATTGTACAACAGCATTGTATCTAAAAAAAACGCACATAATTTAAAAATATTTTATAGCTTAAAAATGCTAACAATTATCTGAACTTTCAGTGAGTCACAATCTTTTTGCTAGTGGAAGGTTGCATCTCCACATTCATGGATGTCGACTGATGGGTGAGGGTGGTAACTGTAGCAATCTCTTAAAATAAGACAAGAAACTTTGCCACATTAACTGAATCTTTCTTTCACAAAAGATTTTTCTGTAGCAAGCAACGCTGTTTCATAGCATTTTACTCACAGGATTGGAGTCATTCCTCTGAAACCCTACAAAGGTTTTATCAAATACATTTAGGTAATATTCTAAATCCTTTGTTATCATTTCAACAATGTTCACAGTATCTTCATCATGAATGGATTCCATTGTAGGAAACCAATTTCTTTGATTATCCATAGGAAGCAACTCTTCATTCGTTGGAGTATTATCATGACATTGTAGGAATTCAATCACATGTTTAGGCTCTGCTTCTCATTCTGATTCTCTTGCTATTTCCACCACATCAGCAGTGACTTCCTCCATGGAAATCATGAACTCCTAAAAGTCATCCATGAGAATTGTAATCAATTTCTTCCAAACTCCTATTAACATTGATATGTTGATTTCTTCCCATGAATCACATGGGTACTTCATGGTATCTACAATAGTGAATCAATTCCAGAAGATTTTCCATTTACTTTGCCCAGATCCATCAAAGGAATTACTATCTATAGCAGCTACAGCCTGATAAAATGTATGTCTTAAATAATAAGAAGTATTTCTTAAATAGTAAGTCAAAATGACTCTTAATCCATGAACTGCAGAATGAATATTTCACTAAAAAGCATGAAAATAACATGAATCTCCTTGTATATCTGATCAGAGCTGTTGGGTGACCAGGTTGATTATCAATGAGCAGTAATAATTTGAAAAGACTCTTTTCTTCTGAACAGCAGGTCTCACTAGTGGCCTTAAAACATTCAGTAAGCCATGTCGTAAGCAGATGCGCTCTTATCTAGGCTTTGTCCTTCCTTTTATAGAGCACAGGCAGAGTAGATTTATAATAATTCTTAAGGGTCCGAGGATTTTCAGAATGATAATTGTGCATTGGCTTTAACTTAAAGTCACCAGCTGTATTAGTCCCTAACAAGAGAATCAGCCTGTCCTTTGTAACACTGAAGCCAGGCATTGACTTCCTGGTAGCTAGGAACATTGTAGGATGGTATCTTCTTCCAATAAAAGGTGTTTTGGCTTTTGTTGCCATTGCTTTTGGTGTTTTAGACATGAAGTCCTTGCCCATGCCTGTGTCCTGAATGGTACTGCCTAGGTTTTCTTCTAGGGTTTTTATGGTTTTAGGTCTTACATTTAAGTCTTTGATCCATCTTGAATTAATGCTTGTATAAGGTGTAAGGAAGGGATCCAGTTTCAGCTTTCTACATATGGCTAGCTAGTTTTCCCAGCACCATTTATTAAATAGGGAATCCTTTCCCCATTTCTTGTTTTTGTCAGGTTTGTCGAAGATCAGATAGTTGTAGATGTGTGGTGTTATTTCTGAGGCCTCTGTTCTGTTCCGTTGGTCTATATCTCTGTTTTCATACCAGTACCATGCTGTTTTGGTTACTGTAGCCTTATAGTATAGCTTGAAGTCAGGTAGTGTGATGCCTCCAGCTTTGTTCTTTTGGCTTAAGATTACATTGGAAATGCAGGCTCTTTTTTGGTTCCATATGAACTTTAAAGTAGTTTTATCCAATTCTGTGAAGAAAGTCATTGGTAGCCTGATGGGGATGGCAATGAATCTATAAATTACCTTGGGCAGTATGGCCATTTTCATGATATTGATTCTTCCTATCCATGAGCATGGAATGTTTTTCCATTTGTTTGTGTCCTCTTTTATTTCGCTGAGCAGTGATTTGTAGTTCTCCTTGAAGAGGTCCTTCACATCTCTTGTAAGTTGGATTCCTAGGTATTTTATTTTTTTTGAAGCAATTGTGAATGGGAGTTCACTCATGATTTGGCTGTTTGTCTGTTATTGGTGTATAGGAATGTTTGTGATTTTTGCACATTGATTTTGTATCCTGAGACTTTGCTGAAGTTGCTTATCAGCTTAAGGAGATTTTGGGCTGAGATGATGGGGTTTTCTAAATATACAATCATGTCATCTGCAAACAGGGACAATTTGACTTCCTCTTTTCCTAATTGAATACCCTTTCTTTCTTTCTCCTGACGGATTGCCCTGGCCAGAACTTCCAACACTATGTTGAATAAGAGTGGTGAGAGAGGGCATCGCTTTCTTGTGCCAGTTTTCAAAGGGAATGCTTCCAGTTTTGCCCATTCAGTATGATATTGGCTGTGAGTTTGTCATAAATAGCTCTTATTATTTTGAGATACGTCCCATCAATACCTAATTTATACAGAGTTTTTAGCATGAAGCGCTGTTGAATTTTGTCAATGGCCTTTTCTGCATCTATTGAGACAATCACGTAGTTTTTGTCGTTGGTTCTGTTTATATGCTGGATTACGTTTATTGATTTCCATATGTTGAACCAGCCTTGCATCCCAGGGATGAAGCCCACTTGATCATGGTGGATAAGCTTTTTGATGTGCTGCTGGATTCGGTTTGCCAGTATTTTAGTGAGGATTTTTGCATCGATGTTCATCAGGGATATTGGTCTAAAATTCTCTTTTTTTGTTGTGTCTCTGCCAGGCTTTGGTAACAGGATGATGCTGGCCTCATAAAATGAGTTAGGGAGGATTCCCTCTTTTTCTATTGATTGGAATAGTTTCAGAAGGAATGGTACCAGCTCCTCCTTGCACCTCGGGTGGAATTCAGCTGTGAATCCATCTGGTCCTGGACTTTTTTTGGTTGTTAGGCTATTAATTATTGCCTCAATTTCAGAGCCTGCTATTGGTCTCTTCAGGGATTCAACTTCTTCCTGGTTTAGTCTTGGGAGGGTGTCCAGGAATTTATCCATTTCTTCTAGATTTTCTAATTTATTTGCATAGAGGTGTTTATAGTATTCTCTGATGGTAATTTGTATTTCTGTGGGATTGGTGGTGATATCCCCTTTATCATTTTATATTGAGTCATTCGATTCTTCTCTCTTTTCTTCTTTATTAGTCTTGCTAGTGGCCTATCAATTTTGTTGATCTTTCCAAAAAACCAGCTCCTGGATTCATTGATTTTTTGAAGGGTTTTTTGTGTCTCTATCTCCTTCAGTTCTACTCTGATCTTAGTTATTTCTTGCCTTCTGCTAGCTTTTGAATCTGTTTGCTCTTGCTTCTCTAATTATTTTAATTGTGATGTTAGGGTGTCAATTTTAGATCTTTCCTGCTTTCTCTTGTGGGCATTTAGTGCTATAAATTTCCCTCTACACACTGCTTTAAATGTGTCCCAGAGATTCTGGTATGTTGTGTCTTTGTTCTCATTGGTTTCAAAGAACATCTTTATTTCTGCCTTCATTTTGTTATGTACCCAGTAGTCATTCAGGAGCAGGTTGCTCAGTTTCCATGTAGTTGAGTGGTTTTGAGTGAGTTTCTTAATCCTGAGTTCTAGTTTGATTGCACTGTGGTCGGAGAGATGGTTTGTTATAATTTCTGTTCTTTTACATTTGCTGAGGAGTGCTTTACTTCCAACTATGTGGTCAATTTTGGAATAAGTGCGACGTGGTGCTGAGAAGAATGATTATTCTGTTGATTTGGGGTGGAGAGTTCTGTAGATGTCTATTAGGTCCACTTGGTGCAGAGCTGAGTTCAATTCCTGGGTATCCTTGTTAACCTTCTGTCTCGTTGATCTGTCTAATGTTGACGGTGGGGTGTGAAAGTCTCCCATTATTATTGTGTGGGAGTCTAAGTCTCTTTCTAGGTCTCTAAGGACTTGCTTTATGAACCTGGGTACTCCTGTATTGGGTGCATATATATTTAGGATAGTTAGCTCTTCTTGTTGAATTGATCCCTTTACCATTATGTAATGGCCTTGTCTCTTTTGATCTTTGTTGGTTTAAAGTCTGTTTTATCAGAGACTAGGATTGCAACCCCTGCCTTTTTTTGTTTTCCATTTGCTTGGTAGATCTTCCTCCATCTCTTTATTTTCAGCCTATGTGTGTCTCTGCATGTGAGATGGGTCTCCTGAATACAGCACACTGATGGGTCTTGACTCTTTACCCAATTTGCCAGTCTGTGTCTTTTAATTGGAGCATTTAGCCCATTTACATTTAAAGTTAATATTGTTATGTGTGAATTTGATCCTGTCATTATGATGTTAGCTGGTTATTTTGCTCATTAGTTGATGCAGTTTCTTCCTAGCATCGATGGTCTTTACAATTTGGCATGTTTTTGCAGTGGCTGGTACTGGTTGTTCCTTTCCATGTTTAGTGCTTCCTTCAGGAGCTCTTGTAGGGCAGGCCTGGTGGTGACAAATCTCTCAGCATTTACTTGTCTGTAAAGGATTTTATTTCTCCTTCACTTATGAAGCTTAGTTTGGCTGGATATGAAATTCTGGGTTGAAAATTCGTTTCTTTAAGAATGTTGAATATTGGCCCCCACTCTCTTCTGGCTTGTAGAGTTTCTGCCAAGAGATCCGCTCTTAGTCTGATGAGCTTCCCTTTGTGGGTAACCCGATCTTTCTCTCTGGCTGCCCTTAACATTTTTTCCTTCATTTCAACTTTGGTGAATTTCACAATTATGTGTCTTGGAGTTGCTCTTCTCGAGGAGTATGTTTGTGATGTTCTCTGTATTTCCTTAATTTGAATGTTGGCCTGCCTTGCTAGGTTGGGCAAGTCCTCCTGGATAATATACTGCAGAGTGTTTTCCAGCTTGGTACCACTCTCCCCATCACTTTCAGGTACACCAATCAGACGTAGATTTGGTCTTTTCACATAGTCCCATATTTCTTGGAGGCTTCGTTCATTTCTCTTTACTCTTTTTTCTCTAAACTTCTCTTCTCACTTCATTTCATTCATTTGATCTTCAATCACTGACACCCTTTCTTCCAGTTGATCAAATTGGCTACTGAAGCTTGTGCATTTGTCACGTAGTACTTGTGCCATGGTTTTCAGCTCCATCAGGTCCTTTAAGGACTTCTCTACACTGGTTATTCTAGTTTGCCATTCGTCTAATCTTTTTTCAAGGTTTTCATAGCTTCTTTTGGATGGGTTCAAACTTCCTCCTTTAGCTCAGAGAAGTCTGACCATCTGAAGCTTTCTTCTCTCAACTCGTCAAAGTCATTCTCTGTACAGCTTTGTTCCATTGCTGGCAAGGAGTGGCGTTCCTTTGGAGGGGGAGAGGTGCTCTGATTTTTTGAATTTTCAAATGGGATCTATTTAAACTGAAGAGCTTCTGTACAGCAAAAGAAACTATCATCAGAGTGAACAGGCAACCTACAGAATGGGAGAAAATTTTTGCTATCTACTCATCTGACAAAGGGCTAATATCCAGAATCTACAAATAACTCAAACAAATTTACAAGAAAAAAACAACCCCATCAAAAAGTGGGCGAAGGAGATGAACAGACAATTCTCAAAAGAAGATATTTATGCAGCCAACAGACACATGAAAAAATGCTCATCATCACTGGCCATCAGAGAAATGCAAATCAAGACCACAATGAGATACCATCTCACACCGGTTTGAATGGCGATCATTAAAAAGTCAGGAAACAACAGGTGCTGGAGAGGATGTGGAGAAAAAGGAACACTTTTACAGTGTTGGTGGGACTGTAAACTAGTTCAACCATTGTGAAGACAGTGTGGCGATTCCTCAGGGATCTAGAACTACAAATACCATTTGGCCCAGCCATCCCATTACTGGGTATATACTCAAAGGATTATAAATCATGCTGCTATAAAGACACATGCACACGTATGTTCACTGCAGGACTATTCACAATAGCAAAGACTTGGAACCAATCCAAATGTCCATCAATGATAGACTGGATTAAGAAAATGTGGCACATATACACCATGGAATACTATGCAGCCATAAAAAAGGATGAGTTTATATCCTTTGTAGGGACATGGATGAAGCTGGAAACCATCATTCTCAGCAAACTATTGCAAGGACAAAAAACCAAACACTGCATCTTCTCACTCATAGGTGGGAATTGAACAATGAGAACACTTGGACACAGGAAGGGGAACATCACACACCAGGGCCTGTCATGGGGCGGGGTTAGGGGAGAGGGATAGCATTAGAAGATATACCTAATGTAAATGACAAGTTAATGGGTGCAGCACACCAACATGGCACATGGATACATATGTAACAAACCTGCACGTTGTGCACATGTACCCTAGAACTTAAAGTATTAAAAAAAAAAAAAGGTGTTTTGTCCACATTGAAAATCTGTTGCCTAGTGTAGACACCTTCATCAATTTCTTAGCTAGCTCTTCTGCACCTATTGCTTCACCTTGTACTTTTCTGTTATGGAGACAGCTTCTTTTCTTAAATTTTATGAACCAACCTCTGGTAGCTTCACTTTTCTTCTGCAGCTTCCTCACTTCTCTCGGCCTTTACAGAATTGAAGAGCGTTGGAGCCTTATCTGAAATAGGCTTTGGCCTAAGTGTGCCTGGTTGGATCTTTTATACAGACCACTAAAACTTTCTTCAAATCAACAGTATAAAGCCGTTTTACTTCTTATCAGTCATTTGCTCACTGGAGTAATCGTTTACTTTTAATTTCCTTTAAGAACTTTGCATTTGCCTTCACAACTTGGCTAAATGTTTGGCACAAGAAGCCCAGCTTTTGGCCTGTATCAGCTTTTGATATATCATCTTCACTAAGCTTAATCATTTCTAGCTTTTTATTTAAAGTGAGAGACATGCAACTTTTCCTTTCTCTTGAACCCTTAGAGGCCACTGTAGGGCTGTAATTGGTCTCATTTCAATATTGTTGTGTTTCAGGAAATAGAGAGACAGGGTAAAGGCCCCTCCCAAGGAGATGGGGAGAGACAGGAATGGCCAGTTTGTAGCACAGTCAGACATTTATTAAGTTCACTGTCTTAAATGGGTGTGGTTTGTGGTGCCCCAAGACAATTACAATAGTAATACCAAAGATCACTGATGACAGATCAGCATGACAGATAAATAATAATAATGAAAAGGTTTGAAATATTGTAAGAATTACCAATATATGACATAAAGACATAAAGTACATGCTGTTGGATAAATGGCATGGATAGACTAGTTCAACACAGAGTTGCCAAAAACCATCAATTTGTAAAAAATCCAGTAATCGGCAACATGCAATAGCAAAGCACAGTAAAATGAGGCATGCCTGTAAATAGAAACTAATGGTAAAAATGAGACTAATTGTTAATACTTAATGTCAAAAATTTTGGATATAATCAGTTTCAGAAAAATAGAAGATAGGCTCAATTTGAACATATCCACTTGATGCAATTCTTTGACATATTTGTGATCCGTGATCTGACAAAATCTATGATATTTTGCAGGTTCATATGTAATGACTTCTTAGTCTGTTGGAAAAAACAAAGGTACATTTGTCTTTTTTATAAACCACCCCTTTTCTCTAGACATACCCATGTTCTTCTGCCACACAATTCTGCCATGTTATAATAACTGCTGCTAATGATATTAATATTCAAAATGCAAGCAAATAATTTACTTGTTCTTAACTTCTTAGTCTGTTATAAATTAGTTATGCCAATCTAAATCCTTATTTAGCCCATTAATATGTTCAATGTTTACTAACTACCACATGAAGTTTACAGTATATGCCTGATTTTTGGCCTCAAATAAAAAATATCCCATAAATCGTTTACATTTAAATCCTAACTCAAGAAATAGATTTGCTTTCCATTGTAGCTGTCATTTATTGAATACTTACCGTAGGCCAGGCACTGTGCTATGTATTTCATACATATTTTTATTAGCAAACTTGAACAAGATAAGGCTTAGAGAAGCAACTTACTTAAGGACATATAGTATGTAAAAAAGCAAATCTGAACTCAGATTATGGTGATTAAAAACCTTAGCTCTTTACCTCAAGGTAGAAATTTATTTATGTCGTCGATCTTAGGTCATTTCCCTTTTTTTTTCTTTTTATTTTTTAAATTTTTTTATTTTATTTTTTGAGACAGAGTCTTGCTCTGTCGCCCAGGCTGGACTGCAGTGGTGTGACCTGGGCTCACTGCAAGCTCCGCCTCCCGAGTTCACGCCATTCTCCCGCCTCAGCCTCCCGAGTAGCTGGGACTACAGGCACCCACAACCATGCCCAGCTAATTCTGCTTTTGTATTTTTAGTAGAGATGGGGATTCACCATGTTAGCCAGGATGGTCTCCATCTCCTGGCCTTGTGATCCACCTGCCTCAGCCTCCCAAAGTGCTGGGATTACAGGTGTGAGCCACCGCACCCACCCAGTGATTTCCTTTTTCATCATAGGTTCCTTTTGTTCCCTAAAGAGACTAAACTCTAGCATGTAAAATATAGTGTTTTCTTTTTTCTAAAACTCCTATAAGGTGATTATATAACTTTTATAATTACAAAACACTTAAAATTATTTATGACTTTCAGTAATCATATAGTAAAGGAGATATTCTAATTGTTTGCAGAATATTGTAATATAATAACTGGTTAGAAGGTTCTTCAAGAGCCAGATCATCCAGAGGCACTGTGAAGAGTTTGGATTCCATTTAACCACTAAAAGATGATATTAGAGAATTCTGAAAGAAAAAGAGTAACATCATCTATTCTAGTTTATTTGTTTGTTTATGAGACAGGGTCTTGCTGTGTCACACAGGCTGTAGTGACACAATCATAGCTCACGGTAACCTTGACCTCCTAGGCTCAAGCGATCCTCCCCACCTCAGCCTCCCAAGTAGCTAGGACTAGAGGCGTGTGCTACCACATGTGGCTAATTCTATTCTAGATTTTTAAGGATCATTCTAGGAAATATAAAGTTATGGACAATAGACTCAGAACCTGCCCAATGGAAAAAAAGTGAACAGAGGAGAAAACAGCAACATTTGGTCCTCAAACTGACCACATTCAAAGGATTCCAGGGAGAAAAAAAGTTGATGGCTTCTTAATTAAAGGAATAATAACAGCTACTAGAGAACTATGATCTAAGAAGGTAGTATAGCCTTTTAGTTAAGATCAAAATTTCAAGAATCAGATTCCCTAAGTCCTAAACTCACTTTCACCTCTTACTAATTGTATAATCTTAAGCACATTACTTAAATATTGCTAACTCCCTCATAGAATTATTGTGAGAATTAAACACACATATACAGCATTGGTCCCCAACCTTTTTGGCACAAGGGACTAGTTTCATAGAAGACAATTTTTCAATGGACCTGTAGGGGGTAAGAGGCGGGGTGGGGGTAGGGGGCATGGTTTCAGGATGATTCAAGTGCATTACATTTATAATTAGATTTTCATAAGGAGCGCACAACCAAGATCCATCGCATGCACAGTTCACAATAGGGTTCGTGCTCCTATGAGAGTCTAATGCTCCTGCCCATCTGACCAGGAGGCGGAGCTTGGCTTCACTCCTCACCCTTTGCTCACCTCACCTCCTGCTGTGCAGCCTAAGTGCAGGTCAGTGGTCTGGGGGTTGGGGACCCCTGATAAGAGCATCCAGTATCATGTTTAATACACAGTAAGTATTCAATACTATTAAGTAGTGATAATACTCCAAATTCTACATATGCATAAAAACCTAGTCAAGAACTAAAGAGAATAAAACTATTGAAAAAAAGGGAGGGGAAAAAGAAAAATTGAGGTTAGAAAGTTTGTAAGAAATATATATGTAAAACATACAGTAAGTGTTCAACAAATATTTACTAATGATAATATTCCAAATGCTGATGAGTGCAATTATAAATTATTTTTACTTTCATCTTTATACTTTCTATATGACTTTAAATTGTCTACATAAGAATTAGCAATGTTTTCTATCAAAATCAGCTGAAACAAAACTGTTTTTCAACTTTAAAAAATTAGAAACACCAAACTGAGAGCAACATTTCATCATGCACCTTTTTATCACATTAGTGTACCTTTGAGGAAAAAATATCCAATATTCAGTAAAATAATATGCCATTCAGAAGTTGAACATTTTATTACATTCAGAGCATCAATTTTAGAATTAAGACTGCTGGGTTTGAATCCTGATTTTATCATTGTTTATCAACACTAGCTTGGAGATGTTACTCAAGCTTTATGTGCCTTAGATTATTCATCTATAAAATGGAAATTACAATAGTACAGCTCAATAAGTTGTTGGACTTAATTAATACATGTATATCACTTAGACTGCTTACTATGTAATAATGCATTATTCCTTTTAATATCACTATGCTGATCTGCTAGCTCGCTTTATATAAACTATCTTTTCTAATATTCTGTTTCTAAAATCATTGTCAAAAGAAGTCGTTTCTAGACCTTTCTATCTCTGCTCCACTATTTGATATCACAAAGAATTTTTAATCTCAATACATTAGGCCTAAGAGGAAATATGCATCAGTTAAGAGAGTATGTGAAAGACATATTGTAACTTACTATGTCTCTGAAAACAACTGCCCTAAGCCGATTAATATCCATGTCCTGTAGAAGCCTGTCAAGATCTCTTACTGGAGATATACCGCCAGTCACAATGTCCACTGGGCTCTATTTAAGATTAAAAAAAAATTGTATATATATATATTCATATATACATTACACAGATATTCTTTAAAAATAAACACAGTATTCCCAGAACCAGAAAAGCAAAGCTATAGCATTCCTTTCCCCACTTTTTTTGTGTGTATGCTTCCTTCTTCTTTGAGGGGTTGGGGAGAGAGGTGGAGAAAGATGGCATGCAGGAAAAAATGACATATTTGAAGGAAAAGGCATCACAGAAACAATCAAAGTAAACACTGGGAAAAGCAGAGAGGTTTAAATATAAACAAATCTTTATTGTGTATTTAAACACAAATATTTGAATGTTATATGCAGGCCTAAAGTAACTATTTTAATCTCTGCCAGATTTATTTAACTTTATGTTGAAATGAACAAATAAAAATCTTAATTGTAAAATAGGAGTATGCTTTTTGAAAATTAATTAATCTGTATACTTACCTTCGCTGCAGATTTCCCTAAAGGAATAAGGCTATGCATTGGTTTCAAGGCTTTATCTCCCCTAGTTTTCAGTTGTGAATGCTGTTGACACTCCAAGCAATTCCTTACTGCGACTGCACAAACTGTAATTTATTTTAAGGAAAAGATAGGGAAAGAAAAGTTAATATTTAAGATTATGGAAGTGAAAAACATCAACTACACAATATGATTTACATAAGATTTTATTCAAAACAGACGACATTCAGCTTATTCCTAAAATGTCCCTAGACTTTATCGCCTAGTGTTGGTTGTCTGATATTGTTAGCTTCCATGCTGTGGCCCAGTTAAGATTTAGGGAGGCAGTATGGCCTAGTGGTCTAAACGTTTAGGGTTTGCTGAAAGGAAATCAGTTCAGGAATCTTAACAATAGGCTACTATTTCTTAGATCTCAACTAAGCTAGCTGGGACAATCTTTAGTTAAGAAAAGGATAGGGAAGAAAAGAATTGAAAGAAATGGAAGAAAACAGGGAACAAAGTACATTACCATGAACTAGTCGAGGTAACAATCTTCTATTACCATCATTAAAGTAAATTAGTTAAACTGGAAACTTTGATGTTCTTCTTATATTGCATCATTACAGCATGATATTAATTGAGACTAATAGAGGATATAGCTTTTGAAAGAAGCTTTATAGGGTCCAGCATTTACTAGCTTTCATTAAAACTGCTTAGAAAATGGGAGACAGGAAAGGGAATTTGATTAATATACAGTCTAAAATTACCTAAGGCTCCCACGAATCAGGCAGTTAGATTACTTAGAAATTAATTTTGGATTTTAAATGATGAATTACATTATGTACCCTTCACTATGAATTGCTTGATACCATGTAATCATCTAAATTCCCTCCAAATCTGTAGCACTCAAGGTACTTGAACTGAGCAAAGGAGGGAGAGCAAATTAGGAACAAAATAGCAAACTTAAGGGGGGACTTCACAAAGAATCACTGGCCTATCACATGGCTAGCAGGCATGAGAATTTAGAAAGAAAGTGTTCTGAAAGGTGCCCAAAGAGAGCAATAAAAGTTGAAAGAAAGGAAGGAGGGAACAAGAGGAGGGAAGAGAGAATATGGAATACAGCTTTGTCAAATTTGCTATCAGACCCAAGAAATATTTTACTTTATCAAATTTGCTATCAGACCCAGGAAATACTTTTCATACAAACTTTTTCACAAGTTGCATAAAATCAAATTTGAGTCTGTATTACAAAGTTAAAAATCACACCTCATTTCCTGGTTTCAATCAGTTACTCTTACTGCTGTCATCCTAACTTCTAACTCCAACCTCAGGAAACAAGAATGAGGACACCAGTGTCCATCAACAGATAACTAGATAAAGAAACTGTGGTACATATACGCAATGAAATAATATTCAGCCGTAAAAAAGAAAGAAATCATGTCTTTTGCAGCAATATAGATGGAACTGGAGATCATTATCTTAAGTGAAACAAGTCAGACACAGAGAGACAAATATTGTATGTTCTCACTTATAAGTGGGAGCTAAATAGTGTGTACACATGGAAGTAGAGTGCGTAATGATTGAAAATGGAGACTCAGGCCAGCGGTGGGGGCTCACATCTGTAATCCCAGCACTTTGGGAGGCCGAGGCGGGGGGATCACAAGGTCAGGAGATCGAGACCATGCTGGTCAACATGGTGAAACCCCGTCTCTACTAAAAATGCAAAGAATTAGCCGGGTGTGGTGGGGCACACCTGTAGTCCCAGCTACTCAGGAGGCTGAGATAGGGCAATTGCTTGAACCCGGAAGAAAGAGGTTGCAGTGAGCCCAGATCTTGCCACTGCACTCCAGCCTGGCGACAGAGTAAGGCTCCATCTCCAAAAAAAAAAAAAGAAAGAAAATGGAGACTCAGAACTCAGAAGGATGAGGGGGTGAGGGGGGTCTGATGATGAGAAATTATTTAATGGTACAATGTGTGTTATTCATGTGATGAATACCCTAAAAGCTCTAACTTCACCACTAAGCAATCCATGTATGTAACAAAATTGCACTTGTACCCCATAAATTTACACAAATACAATTTAAAAAAAAGATATCACACATTTGGACTGTTACTTTGTTTACCATACTCTATTAAATGATCTTGGACAAGTCATTTTTTAAGTCCCATTTCCATATATAAGAACAGATGGTACTGGGGTGGATTAAATTATCTCTTAATTCTTTTCCGTGGCTATGAAAAACTAGGAACATAGAGTATTTCCCTAGCCTCTGAATCTGATGATTCTTGAGTAAGGCTTTGCTAGTATAGCCTTGCACTTTTACTTCTAGAAATGTACTCTTTCTAGGAAAGTGAAAAGCCTTCGAAAATGGCACACATAAAGCAATAAAGTCTAAATATTTTAATTATAATACTAATAGATTAAAGAAGTATACTACAATAGAAAGAGTAGGAGCACTAGTTAGACAAAAGTATAGTATTCAAATTCTACCTTCACCAATTATAGCTTTTTAGCTATAGATAAGTTTCCCAATTTCTTTTATCTTCAATTTCCTCATGAATAAAAAGAACAAAATTGTCACCGTGAAAATCAACAATGACAAATGACAATAGTCAATAAATGATAACTTTTATTTTGTTATGCTTACAATTAGAATGTCTCTTAAATTTTAAAACAACTGTCTATAAATTGTTATTCCAAGTTACTTAGAATAGCAAGATATACCATTGATTATTAAATATAAAATACTTGGAATTTTACATTTAAACTAATACTATTAAATACTTTGAATAGCATTTTGAGTAAAAATTATACTTGTGGCAAAAAGCACAGGTATACATTAGTTTATGTAACAGACATTCTTGCTAAATATGAAAAAATATGTCATTAACTACATTTTCCACTTCCATGTTATGTTTTCATAGGTGCTTTATCTCTTCATATGACCATGGCTCCTAATGGTTTGCTTCCATTTCTTGTGCCTTCTCTCCTCACCACCTTCTCTTCACTTAATAATCAAATCATTTAACAAAGTCTCGATATTTACAACTATATAGAAGGAAAATTATGCAAAAAAGGGTTTTTTTGTTTTGTTTTTTGCTTCACCTAAGAAGTCCAGTTAACATTAAAAAGTCATTTCATGTATTTTTACTTTTACTTAGGGAAGAAGTGTTTCCAGGAGAAGAACAGAGATTTCATGATTTTATTAACTGCATTAACAAATTACCACAGCTTTTTTGAATAAAGGCTGTACTTGAATGATGCTAGTTTAGAACGTTGTTATTCCAGTGTGTTTGTAAGAAAAGCAGCATCAACATCACCTGGGACTTGGTAGTCAATTTTAGGCCTTACCCTAGACCTCTATAACCCTTTTTTTTTTTGAGACAGAGTCCCGCTCAATTGCCCAGGCTGCAGTGCAGTGGTGTGATCTTGGCTCACTGCAATCTCCAACTTCCAGGTTCAAGCGATTCTGCTGCCTCAGCCTCCCAAGTAGCTGGGATTATAAGCGTGCACCACCACACCTGGTTAATTTTTGTATTTTTAGTAAAGACGGGGTTTCACCATGTTGGCCAGGCTGGTCTTGAACTCCTGACCTCAGGGGATCCACCCACTTTGGCCTCCCAAAGAGCTGGGATTACAGGTGTGAGCCACCACCCCAGCCTAGACCTATATAATCTAATCTGCATTTTAACAAGATCATCAAATTTATGAATCACCTTGTGTTTTTTAATCACCTTAAGTTTATGTATCTCCTTAAAATTTCAGAAGCACTACTTTAGAGCAAAAAGAGATAGGGGAGCACCTCTAATTCCAGCTACTAGGAAGGATAAGGAGGCGGGATCACTTGAGCCCAGGATTTTGACACCAGCCTTGGCAAGAAAGCAGAACCACCATTTCAGGGAGAAAAAAGAAAAAAAAAAAAAAAAAAGATAGGGGAGAGTGGAAACTCCTGACCAAAATCACCTTAGTAAATTTTTCAAAATACATCCTCCTTCTTGCCCATCCAACTTACCAACTACTACTATGTACATTAAAAAAAGTAACCATATGACAAATTAGCTAACATATATTTTCTCACCAACAGAAGACGGATAATTTTCAATGTCATCTCTGAATTACTGAAAAATTTTTTTTAGTAAATTCCCAACGGTTTTTAGCAGCTCACCTAGTCGGAGACACTGCCGCAAAATTCCTCCAGATGACATACTTTTTTCAGCTTCAATTTCAGTAAAGCCAAGAGAACTTGCAAATATAAGCACATCCACAAGGCTAATTAGCCTCTGCAAAAATGTCACAGAGGCTTCTATTGAAAGGCCTTGAGTAGGTTCAATATTTTCCAGTTCATGCTGTAAAGAATAAAGTTTGACATTTATATATATATATTCTGAAAAAAAAATTTTACCAGATATAGTCCTAAAATTTATAAATTGCATAAGTAGTCAGACTTTCAGAAACCTAGTAACACAGAGTGATTTATACTTATTATTTCATCTAAAAAGGGTGGGGGATGAGGAGGAGCAACAGAACCATACAGGTGAAACATCATGAACCACATTCTTCACTAGCTGACTCATACTTAGGGAATCAACATTCTTTTAAGTTCTTTCATTACTAGAACAGATTCTAAGGTCCTCTCAAGTAAAAGATCCTATTGTTTTTTATTTATAGCACCTACGATGCATAGTAACCACCACATTTAAGTTTTAGTCAATAAAGTTGCATAACACTCATGTTTTCACACCAATTTTCTATAGTAATTAAGTCCTTACTGTAGCCGATGTAGCAGCTGAAAGCAATGGCAGTATACCCCCACAAGCCATGACCATATTGTCCATCACTTGAGAGATGAGATGAATTGTGTTGTGTACAAAGATGACATTATCACTGCTATTCACGAAGTCCATAACTGTCTTTGTTGAATGGCTGTCCAAAGATAAATGATATTTACTGATAAAGCTAAAGAAAGGAAATCACAGTTTGCCTACTTGAGGGGAGGAAAGATAAGAAGGTGCTTTTGCTTCATCTTGAAAACTGAAGGAAGATGATGCAGCAGGCATTTGGAGGGTGTATACTTCTTCAGAAGAAACAGACCATTCCATATCAGTAGTTACTATCCATGCCCTCCTTCAGTGCTGAAACATAAATACTATTCATTTTACACTGGATATAAAAAGTTGAAGAAAATTATCCTTACTGGGAACAAAACTAAGAAATCATGTGACAAAAATTAGGAGGTAAATACTGGTAAATGTGCTATTAAAAATGAATTTTCTTCTGTAATGCCTATAAAATGCTTTTAAACATAACAAGAATCTTACACAAATAAAAAAAAATAAATTAGGTCACTTTAAAATCATAAATCATACAATGGGGGATAACTTGAAGTACACAGATTTTTTTTAATGCTAAAAATACATTGGAAATATTGATAATGTTATAACAATTTTTTTTTTTTTTTTGAGACAGAGTCTCGCTCTGTCGCCCAGGCCGGAGTGCAGTGGCGTGGTCTCAGCTCACTGCAAGCGCCACCTCCCGGGTTCACACCATTCTCCTACCTCAGCCTCCTGAGTAGCTGGGACTACAGACGCCCGCCACCACTCCCAGCTAATTTTTTTGTATTTTTAGTAGAGACAGGGTTTCACCGTGTTAGCCAGGATGGTCTCGACCTCCTGACCTTATGATCCGCCTGCATCGGCCTCCCAAAGTGCTGGGATTACAGGCTTGAGCAACTGCGCCCGGCCTATACCAATTATTTTTTAATACTTCTAGTAATAAACCAACTTGATAAACCTACCTTCTGGTGAATTCCGTGCCATAAAATTGCTACAGGAAATCTACTACAAATTTTTTTAAAAGAGAAACCTCTGCTTTTCACATTTTTGTAATCCAGATAAGGATTCCATTCTTATAATGGAGAATAAAAGTGAATTCAGTAAAACCCTACCATAGAATAATTTCTATTCTACTTTTTAACCAAATGTCTGAAATTAATTACAAACTGTTTCTATGGATTTCTTTGAAAATAAAGACTAGGTTTATACACATCTTCCATAATAAACATATAGACAAACCTTCTCCACATCTGTATATCTGTTTCTATTGAAAATAATAGATCAGTGAGCAAACGTTGATGCATCTGAGACCAGTTGAACTCAGGAATACGAAACACAGTAGATCTGGAATCCCTCCTTTGTCCATTAACTGCATCTGGTGCTATTCCTTGCCCTGGCTGCTCATGTTGCCTTGATATCTAATACAGAAATTTAAAAAGTAATAAAATAGGTTCAACTTCAGCAGGAGGCTTTAGCAAAGTAAATAATTTAGTAGCTTCTATGCAATTCATCTAACACGTTTTTAAGACACTATAAGAACCAAATTAGAGAAAGAAAAATTATCAATGAGTAATAACATTAACATTTTAGTACATGTAAGCAAAGCTATCAAAAGTGCAAAACTACCACAATTTAAAAGTAATTAACTTGGAACCATGTTAAGTATTACCACTATGTAGCATTTTATAAAAGAATCAAGTAACAGTTCTTAGTTTTTAGCCTTAGCCTAAAAGAAAGGCAGTATTTAGAATCTAAGTGGCATTTGGATTATGAAGTGGCTAGAATGAAGAATAAAAACAGAGATAACATAATGAAGAACCAACCAACAAAAACAAAAAAAAGGAGGGTGGGACAGAGGATAAGAATTGAATAAAGTGGAAAATGACAACATGCTACCAAGCACTGTCTCATGGGTCACTCTGAGATATGGACAGAGGAGAAGGCTGTGCCTCTAGATCTCACAAAGCCTCCTCTCTCTTATAGACTTCATAATACAATTTTAAATCACATGCTTAGTAACTAAAATTATACACTGGCAGGTAGGTAGCCCTAGAGTTTGTTGGAAAACTAATGTACTAGGATTGGGTTAGTCAAATAAAAGGTAAAATGCAAGTGTTTCCAATATTTGTTTTATAAACTAAAATTATACCAATCCTTCAAAGTGGTAACTTCTGGTGATACTATGGTAAAAATAGTAATAAAAACTGTCATTTAATGAACTCACATTAACTGCCAAACACTGTGCTAATGATCTGAAATACAATCTTCACATTCATTGCATTTATTTAGTTGTGAATAGCATGTGAACCAAATTCAAAATAAAATAAAATTTAAGTATATACACTTGCTCTTTTTTAACTCAGTGCAAAAGTACTTGAATAAGACAATATATAAAATCACCTCAAGCACATGTCGATGAGGTTGAGGTGCTTCCACGTTGGGACTGGCCTTCAACTCCAGCCTCTCAGTATCTGTAGCAACATTGGAAACATCCAACTTCGCAATCTTTTGCTCAGAAGAAGCCTCAGAGACACTACCATGACAATCATTAATTAATTTGGTTTCTCTAGTGAGGTTAGTTGCTTTCTTCCCTTCCTCCAGCATCTGACCAAGGTCTGATTCTACAGCTATTTGGGAAACAGTAGTTTCTGGTGACATAGCTGAAGACCCTGATGCTGTCATAGTCTGAATTCCAGAATCTTTAGAATCTTGAGTTTCAGTATCAGTTTGCTTTTCAGTAACAGGTTTTCCTTCTTGAAATATTAATTTGTCATCATTACCAAACATGTCCAGTTTTTCACCGGCTTCAGATGCAGCTGGAGACAAACTGTTATCTTGGAGCTCTGTGGGTAGATTAGCTTCCTCAGTAGGACTGCCTTCTACTTTCAGTTCCACATAATCATCATCTTCCTCTTCCTCTACTATAGATTTATCCAAGAATTCTGGCATCTCTGAGGCATCCTCTTCTGAAGGAGAACTTATAGAAGCAGTTACTTCACTGACAGTCATTGAATCTTTGCCAGTTGTTATAAAAGAATTAGAGGAAATAGCCACAGCTTCTATTATGTCAGAAGATACTTCTAAATCATCTGCATTCCTTGTCTCATTTGTCAGTGTTTCTTCCAAAGTGCCTTCATCTGGTAACTCCTGATTTTCTTGCTCAGCTTTCATTTCTTCATAAGATGTATTAGTAGTTTGCAGTTCAATATTAGATGCAGATTCTAGTGAACTTGTCTTCTCTATACTTGAATTTTCATTACCATTTGTGGTGAAATGAGGACAGACAGGAGAATCCTTCGTATCTGGTTGCTGGGATCCTACTGAAACATTAATATCCCTTCTAATGCCAGAGGCTGCTTGAACTGAAGTTGAAGAACACAGCCCTATTTCTTCATCAACTTTTCCTTGCTGTTCCCTAAATATATTGGCAAGGTTTTCTTTGTGTATTTCAAAAGTGACCTAGGTGAAAAATGTACAATCAGTTAAAATATGCATGAGAAATGAAGACAGAATACAAAATATAAAACTAAATAATTTTCAAATACATAGTTTATATAATACAATAAAACTTAATTTTCCTATATTTTATTTTAGTAGAATGATAAATGTAAGTCAATCACAGAAATCTAAATATTCATTAAAAACTACAGCCAATTTTAATGTTAACAAGTAACACAGCATGAAACCACAAGAAGAACATAATTATTTAGCCTATTATTAAACATGTATAGGAAAAGGATACACTATTCTACTGGCCACCATAACTTGTACCAGAATTTAAGTATGTACCATTGGGAAGTGCTTTATGCACTGGATAACACTTGTTTCAACCGCTATGAATACCAATTTCCCCAGGACTTGTCCGCAGGAGAGATTAAAAATATCAATTAATTATGCTCACCATTACAGTAGCTCTACAGATATCTATTAAGCTACAAAACCATTATCTCACTAAGCCAATGAATACAAATTCTTTTAGCAATGGGAGAAAAAAGATCCAGCCCTTCCCCCAAAGGTTAACCATAATTTCCAAAGTTTGAACTGGTCGAAAATAGTCTGAATGTTTCAGTTGATCCATCCATACATCCATTCATTCCATTTATATCTGAGTGACTACAATATATTAGGCACCGTGAACATTCCTATATCATGCTTTGCCTTTTACCCAAATGGGAAAAAACTGAAAAAGTAAATTTTTTTTTAAAGAGAGTGCTGTACTTGTTAATGTCACAAGATTTAGAATTTTTAAAATCTAAGGATTATCTTATAGCCACCATCATATGATTTCCATTGGTGTTTCAATGGTAACCCCCATCACCCCTTGCAACAAAAATGCCAGAAAAACCTATAACACATGCAGAAAGTATTAGCCTAATTATAGTTTATTAATCCCAAAAGTGTTTGTTTCTGTAATCTACATTATTATATAGAGTAAACTGAACATTCATTCAATAAATCTTTATTGAGCCATAGTATAAGAGGATGATAGGACAATCAAGGAAGAAAAGCTGATTTTTTTATCCACAAAAATCAATAGGCCTTATTGAATCACAAGAGTATACACACAGATGAAAAGCAAACAAAAGTAAAAATGACTCTCAATGCAAAAATTTCCTTCTATCGACATTAACTCGCCTTTACTCATGACATATACAGAACATTCATGCCATGTGATATACCTAAAAATAAAAATGTTCAGGGAATGAATATTTTCCTGTGAATATTTGTATTTTTCCTAATTGTAACTATTTCCACATTGTAACTATGTTCTTAATTCTAAAACTTAGAAATCTTTTTATAATATTTCAACAATAAATGCATGTATTCCTCACTAAACAGTAAAATGACATAATCACATTAACAAAATATCAATTTCTTTTACATTCACAATGCCAATATTTTATTTGACATGGGTTCTGTATTTTAATTGACCAATTCCTCATATTCATTCAACAAAAATTTACTGAACATCGGTAGCAGGCCAGGCATTGTGTGATGAACACATTGTTCCTGACTTCATGGAGCTTATATTCTAAAGAAGGTGTCAGAAAATAAACACACGAATATGTAAGATAATGTCAAATAGTAATAAGAGCTTTGAAGGGAGGGGGAAGTACAGAGTGAAGAACTGTTCTGAAAGTCTAGGCGAGAAGGTGTATTTACTAGTGTAACTGCAGTAGGCCTCTCTGTTCTATTTGAACAAAGGCAAGAATAAAAGAGAGAGCAAGCCATGTAAAAAGAAAAGAGTTTCAGGCAGAGAAGAACAAATGCAAAGGCCTTGGAGCTGAAATAAGCTTGGTATGTATGATGAATAACAATAAAGCAATAAACTGAGAACTAAAGAAAATGAGGTCAAAGATGTGGCCACGAGCTAGATTATGATTGTAGAACATTATAGACTGTATTAAAGACTGTATTTTATTCTGAGAGAGCCATTTGAGAATTAAGAGTGTAGGGAAGACAATCTGATTTCCCTTTTTAAAAGATCAGTGGCTGGGCACGGTGGCTCACGCCTGTAATCCCAGCACTTTAGGAGTCCAAGGTGGGCAGATCACCTGAGGTCAGGAGTTTGAGATCAGCCTGGCCAACATGGTGAAACATTGTCTCTACTAAAAACACAAACATTAGCTGGGCATGGTGGCACACACCTGTAATCCCAGCTACTCAGGAAGCTGAGGCAGGAAAATTGCTTGAACCCAACCCAGGAGGCAGAGGTTGCAGTGAGCCAAAATAGCACCACTGCACTCCACCCTGGGTGACAGAGTGAGACTCTGTCTCCAAAAAAATAAGACTGGTTAGCCTACTTTTTGGAAAACTGACTTTAGAGAGAGCATTTCTCCACCAACAAACAATTATCATTGTCAAAAGAAAGCAAGTTACATATTACCAACCTCACAGTCATTTTGAAAATAGGCCATTTATTTCTACAATAGCCTGTGTTATAGAATGACTTTAGTTTTCAATAATCATTTGCTTTGATTTTATTTATATTAAAGGTTTTTAGAATTTGTATTATACAATGGATCAATAAACATGAGTATATGTAATTTATATGTACAGGTTAAGAAACAATTTTTTTTAATCTCACATGCCTACCACCCATGTCAAGAAGTAAAACGTTACCAGTACCTCACAATTCCCCTATGTGCCCTGCCCAAACTGTACTCCCTATTTCTCCACTACAATCAGAAAAAAATCACTATCCTGGTATTTCTATCGTTCACTGTTTATAAATAGTTTTACCTGGAGGTCAGAGCTTTGGGAGATAATTTTAAAAGATAGTTTTACTATCTATATACTAAACATACCCATTATGTTTAGTTTAAAAAACTAAGTCTAACACAAACCTAGCCAATTGTATTTTAAAGAGCAATACTGCCACACCTGAGCTCCCAAGAAAAGACAAGATACACAGAATCTGTGAGTTGCAGCAGGGCTTCAGCTTATTTGAGAGAATATGTAAAGCCATTTCTGGGAAGTCTTATAGGCAAGTCATTAGGAAATACAGGAAATATAGAGGTCAAGAGAACTGGAGAACCTATCAGAGGCAGTGTGTGCCAGGTAGAGTGTATTGGCATGAAATACTTTATATTTTTCAATTCTAAGCTCACCATGGTGAACCTCTACCCTAAGAAGTAGGTCGAAGCACAGCATGTCTTTGTGGAGTGAAGTGAGAATCTTCAGGTGATTCACATTAGACAGGAAAACAGGAATTTAATCAGCACATGATGAAGGCAAGCAAGCTAAGTACTCCTAATAAGAATACAGGTCCACCTCTCCTGAGTGAAACTGCTCCAGTCCAGATGGACTGTCATCTGCCTACTACATAGCTGCTATTGGGATCTCCCTTTCTACAGTCCTGGAGATCCCCTTCATCTCTCTTCTATGTTGTCTCTTGTTTCTTATATTTCATTTCTTCCTCTTTGTATTATTCTCTCCTTTTGTGCAATATCCTGCAGTGCCTTCTTAAGAAAGGATGTATATAAATGTTTTGAGATCTCAAATCCTGAAAAGGTATTTATTCTCGCTTCATACTTGATTAATAGTCAGAGTATAAAACCACAGATAGAAAAGCATTTACCTTCAGAATCTGAAATGCTTTTAAAATTCTAAAGTCATTTGGTTTTTAAATTTGCCCTTAATTTAATTCATCCAATGGTCTAAAAGCTAAATTGCAATTGAACAACTATCAGTATTATCTTTTTGGATGCTGTTTTCCTTAAGATATTTGTGACTTTAAAACTGATAATTTCCAATTAATTGCCAGATATTGTTCTAAATTACCCAGCTAAAAGACTAGTCATTAATCTTCACAATCATTTGATAGCTAATCTATAGCTGTTTGTAATGTTTGGAAAGCACTTCTATAAACTACTAGTTAAAGATACTTGTGAGCTAATGACTATAACATTTCTTTTGCCATTATTTTCAACTTAATTGGCACTCAAATTTACTAATTAGTAGATAAAAGATAAACACAATACATCCAGATGTTAATATTATCTTTTTAATCTATACATTAAAACCGTATAACCTGTAAAATTTAGACATTTTAAACTGTTAGGCAATGTTTAGCAACTGACTTTGTTTTTAAGCAAAGGCATCTTTTTCAGTGTCTGTTTTCATATGAAAATACCAGCTAAATATGATGTTAACTTCTGATTAAGTTACCAACCTTTGATAAATAAGATATATCTTTAAAAACAGGTGGATCTTCCCATATGTATTATCAATGAGCATAAGTCAAAATGATTGCCACCACATTAATGAGATCTTTTATAAAGACTCTGATGTATAACAATGGTATAGGTAACAGATATAATGGTAAAATCAAGCATTACTGACATAATTAAGAGCAATTCTAAAGGTTGGTAGTACAATCCCCATTTATAAAGATAGGAAGAACACTGACAAAAGAATATTGCAGCAAATAACTTCTAATCTTTTCATTTTTAAAACAGTCATTTTGATCAATTTTAATTTCTTAAAAACAGTCTAAACAGATGCTTTCATGCAAATCTAGCGTATAAACTGGTACAAATTTTTAGAGGGCAATTTAGCAATATCTACTAAAAACTTTTTAAAACATGTACAGACTCCTTCCTCTGGAAATTCCACTTACAGGAATTTATCCTACAAAATAAGGGTTACAGTATTGAACCAGGCTCATCATTGGTCAATGATAAGGAACAGATAAAGTATGATTATAATATAAATCAATAGATTTTTTAAATCTCTCTTCCATCAATTTTTCTAAATACAATTTTGGAGAATGCCAGAATATAAAAAGAAAACTTGAATCATTTACACGGTCACTCCTTCCTAGAATTTTAAGTGGTCTGATAACATTCAAATGTTATATCAAAGCTGAATCTTATGCTCTTTACTTCTCCATAATGTCATATAATATGCAGGCATTAAAATTCATGTAAGAAGCATATCATTAAATAATACTCTAAAATAGTAAAAATACGATCACATTTTGTTAGCAAATAATTATATGTTATGTATAGATTCATGTATAGAAGAGAAGACTAAAAGGTCTCGCACTAAAATGTTAATAAGTTATACATAGGTGTTTGGATAATGGATAATTTTTGTTTTCTGTGTGTATGCATTTCTGCTGGGTTCAAGATTTCCTGTAATGAAAACTTATTATTATTTTAAATTTTTTAAAGTAATAAATGCTATTTGGTTTCAAAATGTTAAAGCTAAGAATACTTTTAGCCAGGAACAAAGGTACATGCCTGCAGTCCCAGCTACTGGAGAGGCTGAAGGGAGAGGATCACTTGAGCCAAGGAGTATGAAGCTGTAGTGTGTTATATATAATGGCACCTGTAAAGAACCACCGCACTCTAGCCTGGGAAGCACAGCAACAGTCTGTCTCTCTCTCTTTTTCTTTTTTTTTTTTAAGTGCCATTTAAATTTGATAAAAACACACACACAAACACTCACACAGAAATCAGGTATTTTTAAAGAATTATTTAGCAATTAAATAAGGTGCAAAGTGCTGATAATCCATGAAATGCGGACATTTTGTAACTTTTTTATTTTTGTAATTTTTGTGAGATATCTCCTTTCATCACCCAGACTGAAGTGCAGTGGCACAATCTCAGCTCACTGCAGCTTCAGCATCCCGTATTCAAGTGATTTTCATGCCTTAGTCCCCAGTAGCTGGGACCACAGGCATGCACCACCACTCCTGGCTAATTTTTGTATTTTTAGTAGAGACAGGGTTTCACCACGTTGACCAGGCTGGTCTCAAACTCTGGCCTCAAGTGATCCACCTGCCTCAGCCTCCCAAAGTGCTGGGAGGCATGAGCCACCATGTCCAGCCAATTTTGTAACTTTTGAAATTTCTTCAAACAAGTCGCTTTTAATCTTATCATACAGCCACCATAAACACATATACATTTTTGTATATGCCAGTTCATATCTTATGATTTAAAAAATAATTTTAATAAACCAATTAGAGAATTCTTTAAAAAAAAATCTTATTTCCACATGCTTTTACCCAATCTAAATGGTAGTTTTTTCTTATGTACAGTGACTGAAATGTATACTTCAGATATTTCATTTCTTATGTACAGTGACTGAAATTTATACTTCAGATATTTCATCAGTAAACAGCAAGTAAAATCTTCAGATATTTCAAAAAATCCAAGATAATTAAGGACTTTATCCTCAAATTCACTATTTAGGAGGAAATCCAATTCATATTATACTTTTAACTCTAACATGACTAATCTTTATTCATTTTAAGTCATAAACCCATTCTAACTTATGGCAATATGAGTCTAGACAAAATACAGTATCTAAGGTGTTAGTTTTATGTGTTTAGAAAAGAATGTGTTTACAAAATTCTCATAATTCAGAATAGTTTAAATGCCTTAATTTAAATTTTAATTAATGAGTAAAAGCATTTTATCATACCAAGTGAAAAAAAGTATTACTTAAGCACAGAAAAATGTTCAATTTGAAGCCAAAAACAAACAAAAAAAAATGAAAACCTAGACAACAAATAAGACAATGAAATCACAAACGTTACTAGGTGCACTCTTTAAAACCCTGAGATCAAAGTAACCAACATAGTGCAGTTATACTAGAAGAGCCTATTACTGCTTATAAAACCCAGTTCAGCTGCTGGAGGAGAGGCATATAGTGACAAACAGCTTCCCTGCTACAAAGGTGGCAGGAAATCTATCAAACTGGACAATAAAACTGCAATTGAGTTTCTTTGGCTTTTTATAGCAGCAGCATGTATCCTGATGTAACTCTGCAAAAGCTATCCAATTCTGCAACATTAGTTCTTTACACATCAGTTCTTTATCAAGAACCATGTTATAAATTTGGGATATTGAGATTCAAAATGACTGCAAAAAGGAAAAAGCATCACTTTAACACTGTATGTATAAAAGTATTATAAAATCTTCAGAACTTATATTTTTAGAGAAAAGAAAATTTTGTTCCAATAATTCCAGTGGAATTTTTAATAGCTGCTAAAAATTGTTCACCTACTTACTGAATCACTACAGCTCTATTCTAAGCTTTATTAAATAATGACTTGAAGAGCCTTAGGGTATAAGTTTCTGTCTTATTTTAAAAATAGCTATAAAGATTTAAAATTCCAAAAAACTTAACAGCATTCAAATAAATTACTTTGTATAAGCCTCATGAAACAGAAAAGCCTTTTAAAAATGAAGAAAATCCACACGAAGGAATAAAAGACATGTATGAAACACTAAAATAAAAGGTGAACAAATGTAAGAACCAACTTACAACTTTAAACTTTTGTTTTCCCTCTCATAAGTAATGTTTTAGCATGTATTTTTAAAAGTATACTTTGACAGCAAAAAGTGGTAGGTCTAGTTTTACTCAGATAAAAAGACTCCATGATTAACTTAGCATTATCCCATCTTATAAATGAATACTAAAACTTAAGTCAGTGTGGTTCTTGGTCAAAAGTAGGCACTAGAGACCTCTCCTTAAAGCAACTATTTTCTTCAGAAAAATTTTAAGATCTGTTTAAAGCCATAAGTCACTGGACTAAAGAAACATATAGGCCGGGCGCGGTGGTTCACACCTGTAATCCCAGCATTTTGGGAGGCTGAGGCGCGTGGATCACGAGGTCAGGAGATCGAGACCATCCTGGCTAACATGGTGAAACCTCTTCTCTACTAAAAATACAAAAAATTAGCCAGGCATGGTGGCAGGCGCCTGTAGTCCCAGCTACTCAGGGAGGCTGAGGCAGAAGAATGGCGTGAACCCAGGAGGCAGAGCTTGCAGTGAGCCAAGATCGTGCCACAGGGCGACAGAGCGAGACTCCGTCTCAAAAAAAAAAAAGAAATATATAAACTAAACAAAACTATAGTCATGCATCACTTAATCATGAAGATATGTTCTGAGAAATGCATCATTAAGCAATTTCATCATGTGAACACCATAGAGTGTACTTAAGCAAACCTAGATTGTATCACCTACTATATACCTAGACTCTATGGTATAGCTTATTACTCCTAGGCTACAAACCTGTATAGCTTATTACTGTACAGAAGACTGCAGACAACTGTAACACAATATATGTATTTGTGTTATCTATTTTTTTTAATGTTTTAATTTTTGTTTTAACAAAAGACTGAGTCTCGCTCTGTGACCCAGGCTGGAGTCCAGTGGCACAATCATAGTTCACTGTTACGTTACTTCAAACTCCTGGGCTCAAGTGATCCTCCCACCTCAGCCTCCTGAGTAGCTAGAAATACAGGTGCATGCCACCATCCCAGCTAATGGTGTGTGTGTGTGTGTGTGTGTGTGTGTGTGTGTGTGTGTAGATTGAGACTCACTATGTTGCCCAGGCTGGTCTCAAATTCCTGGCCTCAAGCCATCTTTCAGACTTGGCCTCCCAAAGTGCTGGGATTAGAGGTGTGAGCCACCATTCCCAGCCCTTATATTGTGTGTACGTAAGGTTTAGAAATGTGTATCTAAACAAATATAAACATAGAAAAGGTATAGTAAAAATCCAATATAAAAGATTTAAAATGGTACCTACATAAGGCATTTACCATGAATGGAGCTTATAAAACTAGAAGTTGCCCTGGGTCAATCAGTGAGTAAGTGGTGAGTAAATGTGCAGGTCTAGTACACTACAGAAGACTTTATAAACACTGTAAATATAGGCTACACTAAATTTATTTTTAAAAACTACTTTTCTTTGTTCAATAAGAAATTAACCTCAGCTTACTGTAACATTTTAACTTTTTAAACATTTTAATTTTTAAAACTTTTTGACTCTTTTGAAATCAAATTTAGCTTAAAACACAAACACATTGTACAGTTGTAAAAAGATATTTTCTGACAGGCACAGTGGCTCACAACTGTAATCCCAGCTACTTGGGAGGCTGAGGCATGAGAATTGCTTGAACCTGGGAGGTGGAGGTTGCAGTGGGCCAAGATTACACCACTGCACTCCAGCCTGGGCAACAGAGCAAGACTCTGACTCCAAAAAAAAAAAAAAGTTAGAATGGTGATCATTAAAAAATAAGGAAACAACAGGTACTGGAGAGGATGTGGAGAAATAGGAACACTTTTACACTGTTGGTGGGACTGTAAACTAGTTCAACCATTGTGGAAGACAGTGTGGCAATTCCTCAAGGTTCTAGAACTAGAAATACCATTTGACCCAGCCATCCCATTACTGGGTATATACCCAAAGGATTATAAATCATGCTGTTATAAAGCACATGCACACGTATGTTTATTGCAGCACTATTCACAATAGCAAACACTTGCAGCCAACCCAAATGTCCAACAATGATAGACTGGATTAAGAAAATGTGGCACATGCACACCATGGAATACTATGCAGCCATAAAAAAGGATGAGTTCATGTCCTTTGTAGGGACATGGATGAAACTGGAAACCATCATTCTCAGCAAACTATCACAAGGACAGAAAACCAAACACTGCATGTTCTCACTCATAGGTGGGAATTGAACAATGAGAACACTTGGACACAGGAAAGGGAACATCACACACTGGGGCCTGTCATGGGGTGGGGGAGAGGGAAGGGTAGCATTAGGAGATATACCTAATGTAAATGACAAGTTAATGGGTGCAGCACACCAACATGGCACAGGTATACATATGTAACAAACCTGCACGTTGTGTACATGTACCCTAGAACTTAAAGTATAATTTAAAAAAAAAAAAAAAAGTCCAGGTGCAGTCACGCACGCCTGTAATCCTAACACTTTAGGAGGTGGAGGTGGGTGGATCCCCTGAGCTCCGGAATTCAAGACTAGCCTGGGCAACGTGGTGAAACCCTGTCTCTACTAAAAATACAAAAAAATTAGCTGAGTGTGGAGGTGCACACCTGTTGTCCCAGCTACTCGCCAGGCTGAGGCAGGAGAATCGCTTGAACCCAGGAGGTGGAGGTTTCAGTGAGCCAAGATTGCACCACTGCATTCCAGCCAGGGTGACAGAGCAAGACTCTGTCTCATTTAAAAAAGACACACACACACACACACACACATTCTAACCGGGTGTGTGGCTCATGCTTATAATCCCAGCACTTTCAGAGGCCCAGGCGGGGGGCCACTTGAGTCCAGGAGTTGAAGACCAGCCTGAGCAACACAGTAAGACCTCGTCTCTACAAAAAAACTAAAAAAGTAGCCAGGTGTGGTAGCACAAGTCTGTAGTCCCAGCTACTCAGGAGGTTGAGGTGAGAGGATCACTTGAGCCCAGGAGTTTGAAGTTGCAGTGAGCTATGAGCACACCACTACACTTCACCTGTCTCAAAAAATATTTTTTTTCCTTTCTCTATATCCTTATTCTAAAAGCTTTTTTCTCTTTTTAAAATTATATATTTTTCAAACTTTTTTGTTAGAAACTAAGACACAAGCCAGTCCCGGTGGCTCACCCCTGTAATCCCAGCACTTTGGGAGGCTGAGTCAGGCAGATCACCTGAGGTCAGGAGTTCGAGACCAGCCTGGCCAATATGGCGAAACACCGTCTCTACTAAAAATACAAAAATTAGCCAGTTGCAGTGGCAGGCAACTGTAATCCCAGATACTCGGGAGGCTGAGGCATAACAATCATTTGAGCCTGGGAGGCGGAGTTTACAGTGAGCCAAGATTGCGCCACTGCACTCTAGCCTGGGTGACAGGGAGACTCTTTTTCCTGAGCTTACACAGCTAATAATTACTATAAATCAGGATTCACACCCTGTCTCCAAAGTCCACATTCTTTCATTACTTACACAAACGGATTTGAAAACTGGATATAAATACTTAGTCATAAATGCTCACAAGCTCAAAACACCTGAGATATCACCTAATCCAACTCCTTTATTTTGTATATAGGGAACTCAAAAAGACTAATCTATTCATCCTAAATATCCTATTATTTTCTAAGATAGCAGTTCTCAAACTTTTTGGTCTCATGACACTTTATTTATTTATTTATTTATTTTATTTTTTGAGACAGAGTCTCGCTCTGTTGCAGGCTGGAGTGCAGTGGTACGATCTCGGCTCACTGCAACTCCACCTCCTGGGTTCAAGCGATTCTTCTGTCTCACCCTCACAAGTAGCTGGGACTACAGGCACTCACCACCACGCCCAGCTAATTTTTGTATTTTTAGTAGAGACAGGGTTTCACCATGTTGGCCAGGATGATCTCAATCTCTTGGCCTCATGATCCACCCACCTCAACCTCCCAAAGTGCTGGGATTACAGGCGTGAGCCACCGTGCCCGGGCAACACTTTACATTCTTAAAAAGTATTAAGGTCCCCAAAGACTCTTTATCTATGTGGATTATATCTACTACTGCTTATTATATTAGGAATTAAAACTGAGACCTTTTAGAACTATTAACCCACTTAAAAATAATAAACTCAATATATAATATAAATAACATTTTTTGAAAATGATTATTTTTCAAAACCAAACAATAACAAGAAGAGTGCCATTATTTCATATTTTTGTCAATCTCTTTAAAGTTTGGCTTCATAGAAGACAACTGCATTCTCATATTTGCTTTTGCATTCAATCTGTTGCATATATTGGTTTGGCTGAAGTATATAAAGAAAATCCACCCTCATACAGCTATGCAGTAGGAAAGGAGGACTGCACAGACCCCATGAAAAGCTCTCATGGGCCCACGTTCTTTTTTTTTTTTTTTTTTTTGAGACAGAGTCTCACTCTGTCACCCAGGCTGGAGTATAGTGGTATGATCTTGGCTCAATGCAACCTCTGCCTCCTGGGTTCAGGCAATTCTCCTGCCTCAGTCTCCCAAGTACCTGGGATTACAGGCATGCACCACCGTGCCCAGCTAATTTTTGTATTTTTAGCAGAGATGGGGTTTCACCATGTTGGCCAGGCTGGTCCTGAACTCCTGACCTCAAGTGATCCAGCCGCCTCAGCCTGTGATTACATGCATGTGCCATCGTGCCTGGCCTCCCTCCCAAGGTCTTTAGGTTATACTTTTAACAACGATTGCTTTAAAGTTTATACTCCTCCAGCCATCTTTCCTAAGGACTTGAAGAAACTAAGGTGAACTGACATAGATCTGTTAGAAACGTGAAAAATCTGCTTTATACTGGGCACTTCCCTAACCTATAATCTCCCCTAGAAATCTCTGAAATCTACTCCAGATGTATATGGGGCACAAAGTCAACCCTATTTTTCTTATAATCTTTTGTAAATGGCAACATAGTATGAGAAAAAAAATCAGTCTAGATTGCAGCAGCCTACTGCAATAGAAATGAGAATATCTGGGCATCAGCACAAACTAAAGTTACAGAAAGGATGGCAAACAGTTCCTGTAATGAGCCAAATAGTAAATATTTTAGATTTTAGGGGCCATGTCGTTGATGTAACATGTATGATTATCCTTATAGTGTGAAAGTAGCCATATACAATATATAAAGGAATGGTAGTGGATACATTCTAGCACAATTTTATTTAGATCTGACACTTAGGCCATGGCTAGCTGAATTCTGTTTTAAACAAAACTGATCAACCTCAACAATACAGTGACTAAAACAAAGCCATTTTATAAAATCAGATCTCTTTTCTTATTTACAAATGGATTTTACTCCTTGTAAACCCTTGTAGAAGCATACTTTCTCTCAATGAAGAAAGAGGAGGAACAATGAATAATTTGTAGGAACTTTCAATCAATAATTAAAAGCTATTCAAATACCTAGAAACATGTAATTAGGAAAGGGCAATATATTCTTTTTTTTTTTTTTTTTTAGATGGAGTCTCACTGTCTCACCAGGCTAGAGTACAATGGCTCTATCTCTGCTCACTGCAACCTCTGCCTCCCAGGTTCAAGCAATTCTCCTGCCTCGGCCCCCCAAGTAGCTGGGATTACAGGTGCACGCCACCACGCCTGGCTAATGTTTGTATTTTTAGTAGAGATGGCGTTTCACCATGTTGGCCAGGCTAGTCTCCAACTTTTGACCTCAGGTGATCCACCCGCCTTGGCCTCCCAAAGTGCTGGGATTACAGGCGTGAGCCACCACACCTGGCCAGAAATGGCAATATATTCTACAGAATGACAAAATATCTTAGAATAATAACTTTGATAGTCAGTAAAATGTAACACTTAAAGATATAGAGAAATTATCATTCTTGGTATTTATTCCTTCTAGTCAATTTTTTATTAAATAAATAGCTATATAATTATACAGTATTCCTTCTGAGTAATGAAAAAGTTCTTAAAATTCAAAAAACATACACCGTAAATGAAACTAATAGATTTTAATGCATTAATTACTTGAAATGTAAATTTTCCTCAGAAGGTACAAACATAAAACTCCAAAAATAGTTAGATAATCCACATATTGGCAGAAGATGTTCATAAACAACATAGCTAGCAAAGGATTAAGAATGAGACTACATAAAGAACTCCCACAAAACAACAAGAAAACACAGATCAAGATTATGGTGATGTAGCATTTTAAATTCATCAAAGTGACAAATTTTTAAACTCCAGCCATACCACGTGATTAGGTGATGTGAAGCAATGAGAACTTAAACACTGCTGGTGATATGTAAACTGATACACTACTTTAGAATACTGTATTGTATTGGAATACGATACTTTGGAAAAGAATTTGCATTATCTTGTAAAGTTCAACATTTTCACCTTATAAGTCAGCAATTCTACTTCTAGGAATATATGCAGAAAATTCTTGAACAAGCACAAAATGTATACGAAAATGCTAATTAATTGGTAAATAAATAGTCATGTCATGCAATACATTACAATTGAGAAAATGAACAAAACTATATGGGTCAATGTGGATGAATCTCAAACAGTAATAAGCACAAACAGTAATTAACAAAAAAATGCATTCAGTATGCCACATTTACCTTAAGTGCAAACATAAAAAATAAAACTCTTTATTGTTTAGAGTTATATACACGTAGTAAAGGTATAGAAAAGACAAAAGACAACACCAAATAAAAGCTAGTGGTGTTGGGGGTCAGGCGAAGAAGAGGAGACAAAGCAATTATAGAGGAGTAACCCAATTTCATAAACAGTGATCCTTTTTGTATGCTTAGAGTATTTCAAAAAAGAATTTAAGCTATATATAAATAACTAAACTTACTTTGGCTTAATTTAAAAAAAAAAAAAAAAAAAAACTACATTCTTCCAAACCCAGTTTTTAGCTACCTGTAAGATTAGCACAGGGCAGACATCACCCAGAGCTTTTCTGTTTACTCATCCACCTTACGTTGCTAAAACAACTGTTCATCTTTGAATATAGTGCGCCACCTTGTGTTCAAAAGCTTTTAACTCATATAAAATTCTGAGACCCATGTTTGTAAACAGGGCTTCCTCGAAAAAAAATATTAGGTTGGTGCAAAAATAATTGCAGTTTTTGCCGCAACTACTTTTTCAGCACCCTAGTATAAATTCCTTTATGCTGTGGCAATAGATTTACCATTATAAAGATAAGTACATGTAAAAACAACATTAGAAAAAATTATTTTGATTCTAAAGAAATTACAAATGCTTTATTTCTATTGATAATCTTTTTGAGCTTTCATTTTGCTGTACTTTCAGAAGATAACTTGCCTTTTTTCCTTGATTTTAAGTATCGAAATTTTTTAAATGACTAAAATTCAAAAATTATAGATATTTAAAATGCTACAATACGCTTTCATAAAGAAACTTACCTTTGAATGAGTGATTGATAAAGTGTCTACCCATACACGCCAGCCACCCCACTCATATTTGACTGCATGGTAAAGCAGGATTCTGAATATGGCGTATACCATTTCTGTTATCTTTTGCTCATCTGAATTCTTAGGATTAAAATAGCAGAGAGAAAGCATCCATTCTTGCCACACAGAGCATTGTAGCAAGCTCCTGAAAATTATGAGAGGGTACTAAATTACTGAAGAAAAAAAAATTATCTAAAATAAATCTAAAGGTTTAAAACAAAATAACCCTGCCCCTCCCTTTCCCCCCGAAAAAGAAACACATTTAGTTATACATTAAGAACAATTCGACAATGTGGTACTAAAAATTCTAACTTAACTATGTGGTACATTATTTACATACTCTTAATAAAAAAAATAGAAAAATCATTTCACAGTATTTTTAAAGCAATTTTTCTTAGATAAAATGGGCTTATACAAAAGTACATTTGAATACTGCAAATAAATGCTTTCTGATTCAGCTTACCTCCTGTTTTCTCTACTGTTATTAAAAAGTTTAATCATGTCAGAAAGAAAGGCTCTGCGAACCTCCATGCTCTCTGGGCACTGGGGAGAATTTCGAAGTAGGGTCGCAATTACTTTTAGTATCTCTGTAAGACAGTTTATAAATAAGTAAAAACCAAACTCAACAAAAAACTCATGATAGAAGGTCATCCATCTATTGCAATTTCTTTAGTTTCCCTAACACAAATGTCTACCAAAAACATCCTCTTCTGTTATTAAAAAAAATCACCTCTGGAAAGAAATGACAATACATTCATTAGAAAGCATTTATAAATATGAAAGGAAATTTCTTTCATGATTCAAATGTGCAAAAATAAAGCTGAACTTTAAAAGGTTAAAATAAAACAAGTTAAATTATAAATGAATTAAATGTCAGTGAAACTGCTTACTCTCTCTGAGATATACCAAATAGTAAAGTTGATCTTAAAAACAAGCAGGCCGGGCGAGGTGGCTCACGCCTGTAATTCCAACATTTTGGGAAGCTGAGGTGGGTGGATCACTTGAGGTCAGGAGTTCGAGAGCGGCCTGGCCAACATGGCAAAACCCCATCTCTACTAAAAATATAAAAATTAGCCAGGTGTGGTGGCGTGTGCCTGTAATCCCAGCTACTCAGGAGGGTGAGACAGGTGAATCGCTTGAACCCAGGAGGCAGAGGCTGCAGTGAGCCAAGATCGTGCCACTGCACCCCAGCCTAAGCGACACAGCAAGACTCTGTCTCAAAAAAAAATAATGAAATAAAATAAAAAATACTATAATCAAAATCTCAGAAAAATATAATAAATTCTTAGATTCCTCATCATAATTTATGGTATGCACACACAGTCTTTCATAGCTGGGATTATAGGCACCTGCCACCACGCCTAGCTAATTTTTGTATTTTTAGTAGAGACAGCGTTTCTCCGTCTTGGTCAGGGTGGTCTTGAACTCCTGACCTCGTGATCCACCTGCCTTGGCGTCCCAAAGTGCTGGGATTACAGGCATGAGCCACCACGGCCGGCCTACCATAGAGAATTTTTAAAGGTGTGAAGATTTTCTTTCATAATCTTAAAAGTAAAATTAGACACAAAAAACCCAAAGGAAATTAAAACCTATTCAACATCCCATCTCCCCAGAAAATGCAAACTAAACTACTATTGTAATGGTCTTAGCATAAAGCTATTTAAATCTCCAGAATTTAGCTTAAATTAGGCCAGGCACAGCGGCTCATGCCTGTAATCCCAGAACTTTGGGAGGCTGAGGCAGTTGGATAATTTGAGGTCAAGAGTTCAAGACCACCCTGGCCAACATGGCGAAATCCCATCTCCACAAAAAATACAAAAATTAGCCAGGCCTGGTAGCAGGCACCTGTAATCCCAGCTACCAGGGAGGCTGAGGCAGGAGAATCACTTGAACCAGGAGGCAGAGGTTACAGTGGCTGAGATCCTGGCACTCTACTCTAGTCTGGGCAACAGAGCACAAGACTCGGTCTCTAAATAAATAAATAATCTCCAGAACTTAGCTTCTTAGCTTAAATTAAAACAAAAAAAAAAATTCTTTTAAAAATATGCACTTAGACCAGGTGCAGTAGGCTCATGCCTGTAATACCAGCACTTTGGGAGGTTGAGGTGGGAAGATTGCTTGAGCCCAGGAGTTTTAGACCAGCCTGGGCAACATAGGCAAAATAATGACATCACGTTTCTCTGAAAGCTGAGGAAAATTAAACCTCAAAGCCACGTGCTTTGAAAATTAGCACTGGAGTACCAAACACACAAATACACCTAACCACATAAAATGTAATTAAATTTTAAAACTCTACAAACTAATAATTTTAATAACATGATCTTAAAAAGCAAGATGAAAAAGGTATACTTTATACAAGTGCTTAAGAATTCTAAATATCAAAAGAAAAGACTGTTTAACAAGACTATCTTCATAAACAATAAAGAAGACATATTGTTCTATTCCAAATTTGGTATTTTTATATTCACAGTAATTTAAGATAAAACTACCCCAATGGTTCTTGTAATTCTGCCTGACATCACTAAATAGCACAATCAAAATTTTGCTGAAAGTCTGAACATATATTACATCAAGACCTTAAGCAAACAATTCTTCAAAACCTTTATATAAGAATTTCCACATAACTTAAGGTTGATTCGAAGGAATACTCAATATAAAACCCAAACAAAACTAGTATAATATCATCACCCTTAATGAAACATTCATCTAACAATCTGTTTCAACAACATCAATTTTAGGTTGTTCACAGTGACTTTCTTTTTAAGTAGCAAAAGGTAGTTTTTGTTAAAGTATATAAAATACATACGAGGGTTTTGTATCTTCACTGAAGAATCAGGATCTGGATGCTGTTTATGTATCACCTGAGTACCAATCTGTTCTATAAGAATCTACAGAAGTAAAACAATGGATTACATTAGCAAATCACTGGATTAGCATCACTATTAATGAACTTTAAGTGCATCACTATTAATTAACTTTAAGTACAACACTAATCAAAATATAGTATATTTTTAGTCCAATATTGTCATGCTAAATAATATACTTCTAAAATAACTACAGCATTATTACTCTATGTTTTCTTAATTATAAAATGAGACATCAAATAGTTAATAAAATGGAGGGAACATTTAAACAGAAATAACGATACTGTTTAGAAATTCACAGATTAATTATAGATTTCTAAAAATGCAGCCACATCTCCTTATATCATTTCAAAGCTGTACATTACAAACTTAAATGGTCTGGTCAGCATGGTGGCTCATGCCTGTAATCCCAGCACTTTGGGAGGCTGAAGTGGGTAGATCGCCTGAGGTCAGGAGTTCGAGACCAGCCTAGCCAACACAGCAAAACCCGTCACTACTAAAAATACAAAAATTAGCCGGGTTAGGTGGTGTGCACCTGTAATCCCAGCTACTGGGGAGGCTGAGACAGGAGAATCACTTGAACCCGGGAGGTGGAGGTTGCAGTGAGCCAAGACTGTACCACTGCACTCCAGCCTGGGTGACAGAGTGAGACTCTGTCTCAAAAAATAAAATAAAAATAAATGATCTTATTTACCTACACAATGTTAAGAGGCATTTTTATAATAAGAAATTTAGAGGAGTAAATCCTAAGTACATTCCTACCTCAAACAGCACATTATATGTGGTCATTGTGATTAAATTTGTCTGAAGCATGAGCCTTTCAGCTAGCAATGAAAACAATCCATGTCCAAGCATGACTTCTGCTTTCCTCCTGCAATTACACAAAAAGAAATCATCAAATGTAGAGCTTTTCTGTGCTCTACTTAATATGCATGCTGGATGAAGGAAACACAAAATACTTTTTCACATTACAAACAATTCCCAACTCAATTACTCTCCCAACTATCTTCAATCTAGAACTTTTAAGGCCACAAAACCTTTAAGCAGAGAAATGCTAACTATATAAGCATAGCCGAAGTTAAAAATTAAAAAAAAAAAAGACAAGTGTGCCTATGCTACAGCACAGCAAAAACCTCCTCCAAAATCTTCAGAGCAGTTATTTATTTAACGAAGTTGCTACAATCTACCAGCACTAACTTAGTCTCCCCTGGGGATGATCATCTAAAGCACAATAAATACTTAAGTAGAAAAACAATGTGGAGAAAAAGTAGAAGAAATGTAATATAATTTTTTAAAATAAATACTATGAAAACATATATACCAAAATTAACCTTCCAAGCATAAATTCAGAAACTAAAGGATCACAAACTTTAATTTTACCCTTGGGGTCAGCAAAGCTTTTCTGCAAATGGCCAGGGGGTAAATATTTTAGAATTTGTGGACCAGGTGATTTCTGTCACAACTCAACACTGTCCTTGTATCATGAAAGCAGCCACAGATGATACACAAATAAATTATTGTGGCTGTTTTCCAATAAAACTTTATTTACAGGTGGCTAACTGGATTCCTAAAGACTTCAGTTTACCAACACTTGTTCTACCCCCAAAATTTTCTTTTTAAAATAAACTACTTCTGGTACAAAGAACAAGAGGTAGAACATGAATATCTGTATTCAGCTAAGAAAATAAGCGTGGAAGTTTCAGTTTTGAGTTACGCATACAGCAGAACACACTATGTGACAAACATCCAGGTTATGTATTACTTTATAATACAGATAAAGCAAAAATGGTGTGAGTCACCTGAAATCAAGTCTCCATAGCTTCTTGAATGCAAGCTGTCCAAACTAATTCTCATAATTCACATTAAATACATGAATAATTTAAATAATTTTATGTACAAAAAAATTAATCCTGTTCACTTAATTTTTAAAATATGTACTAGTGGGATTACATTTATACAGCAATTTATGAATAAAAATAAAAGAAAAACTAGAGGACTATAGAACAAAATTACTACTGCAAAGATTTATAAAATAAATAAGTAGAATACAACAGTCCATCTTAGATTTCGGCATACTTACTTTGGGGCCAGATGTTTTAAAAAATAACCCATTGCCTTAAGAGCTTGTACCCTGATTCCTTCACTTTTCGATGCCAGAAGTTTGTAGATAACACTGAATGAATAAAAATTTAAAACAAACTATTTTGAGTATAATTTTTAAATGGAAAGGTTTAAAATATATACTTTTCATATTATTATAAATCTATTTCAAATAATATGGAAGGAAATTTAATATAGATTTCTGTATATAAAAAATCTGCTTATCTCAGGCTAGAGTTCCTTTCAATGAAAACTAAGAAATGAGAAGAAATTGGAATATAAGAAATGAGGTGACTTTTCCATGCACATACTTATATGTAACGTGTGTATCAAGCTAGCTTTCAGATACTTTTTTCCTTCTGCTACAGGCTTGTAAATGTTCTGAAGGTTACCAACTTGTTATTTTAAGTCAGTAGAAAGAAAGCATTTCTAATGGTAGCACATATTTAAATTTCTAAATAATTGTCGCCATGAAAAACAAGACAGTAGGCTAATAATAAATGATTATCAGAAATAATTACAAAAGTAAAAAGATTTACAACCAAAGAACTGCTAAAAATAAATTTCTCATTCAATTCTCAAAAATTATATAGTAATCTAATTTAATTTTTAAAGATCTATGAGGCAGCTGGATGCAGTGGCTCACGTCTGTAATCCCAGCAGTTTGGGAGGCCAAGGCAGGCAGATCACCTGAAGTCAGGAGTTCGAGACCAGCCTAGCCAACATGGTGAGACCCCATCTCTACTAAAAATACAAAAATTAGCTGGGTGTGGTGGCATGTGCCTCTAATCCAGCTTCTCGGGAGGCTGAGGCAGGAGAATCGCTTGAACCTGGGAGGTGGAGGTTGCAGGGAGCCGAGATCATGCCACTGCACTCCAGCCTGAGCAACACAGTGAGACTCTGTCTCAAAAAAAAAAACAAACAAACAAAGATCTAGGAAGGCCTTCTGATTTTAGTATAAGTAAAGTATAATGCAACTGAAATTAAACTGATTCATTACAGCATTCCCTTCCTCATAAACATTTAGAACAAGAACAGTAATTAGAAACTCTTATAATTACTTATAAAAATTAAGGATATCAGTATCCTCCTAGATCAAAATTTTGGTGTTTAGTAAGTTAGAAAACATTCTGAACAAAAAGGAAATATCTTCAACCTCTAGTGATCAATAGAAAAGCAGGTATATAAAAAAGAAGTTTGATTCCTTTTAAAACATGAACTAAAGGCATCCAGGTCCATATCACATTGTAACTGCATAATTTTAATTCAAATCTTAGTACAAAAACTTAACAGTCAATCATTAGGAAAATACTAATATGTTGTATGTTTCTTTTCTTCAAGGATTTAAATTCAGCCAAATAAAAATTAAACCTTTTAAAAGAAATATTAATATAATACCAGTTTAAAATCACAATAGTTTTTTGAGTTTTTTTCCCCAAAGATGGCAGATTTGAGGGCTTTAGCATTTCTCAGCCACTTAGAAATAGCAAGATAGTATATAAAAATCAACTGTGAGCTTTAATTCAGGAAGAAAAGCAGGACTCCACCAGAATCATGAAAGGCACCCTAGTTCCCGAGAGCACTTTGTTTCTCCCAAGACCTGGAGCTAACTGGGAAAGAGGTATGGAGATACTGTGAGGGAAAGACACCAGGAAAAGTTGCAGGGACCAACAGCAGGATGCCATTTTGAATTCAAGCACACACAATTCAAACTGGAAATCTGGCAGTGTGGCTGTGCAGGCATGCCAGAGATTAGAGTCCCTGCTTTGGAGCCAGAATTGTGAAAACTGCCTCAGCAGTAGGTGTTATAATTGTACTCTACCCCGTCGCAGGCCTGGGGTGGGAGGAAAGCTGCTACAGCTGCAATATCTCCTGGACAACAAGACTTGGCAGGCAGAGGCAGCTTGGTGACCTGGAACCAGTCTGCATGTGTCATTGCTGGGTGCTCCAGCCTGCTACCCTGACACTGTGGTGCAGCAGGGCCCTCTCTGCTCCACTCTCAGGCAGAAATCCAGACATTCAAGCCACCCCACCCTTCGTAGACACAGATCATAGCACTGGACCCTCTTTGCTCCATGCCCAGGCAGATCTCCAGGCAACTGACGCACCCACTCCCACGGACTAGCAACCTGAGCCCTATTCCACGTGGTGCAGCAAGATGCACAGGCAGATCTCCAGGCATTAAATGCACTTGCTTGCCCAGATTGGCAGCCTGAGCCACCCCACTCTTCCTTTGCAGAGATCCAGGTTCAGAGGGGTCCTCTATGCTTCATGCTCAGGGAGATCTCCAGGCATTCAGAGCAGCTGCTTGGCTACTCCAGCAGCCTGAGTCACCTCACCCCTCTGTGCAAAGATCTTGGTGCAAGGGGGAACCTCTCTGCTCCATGGCCAGGCAGATTTCCAGGCATTCAGACTACTCAGTCACCTGGAACAGCACCCTCTGCACCATTCCTATGTAGAGATCCTGGTACAGGGGGCCCTCTCTGTTTCACACCCAAGCCTATCTCCAGGGATTCAAAATAACTGCTTGCCTGGTTCAGTACCCTGAGGTGTCCCACCATTCCGGTGCAGAAATCCTGGTGTAGGAGACCCTCTCCATTTCACAGCCAGTAGATCTCCAGGAATCTGGAAAACCCATTTTTCCTGGATTAGGAGTTTAGGCCATCCCCATTCCCATGCAGAGAACTTGGGGCTGAGGTTTCCCATCACTATTTTTTGTGCCCTTCTCCAGAGCATAGAAGGGAGCTCAGACCACCATGCACTACACACATCAGCTTATTGCCTGAGGCAACAGAGAACTTCTCCCACTAAACAAGGGTCAAGTATATACCCAGCCACATTGGCCAAAGCCCACTCTTACTCATAACTGCCATCCAATGGCTTGTAGGTTGAACTGCACAGCCCAATATAAAACCTGCTGACGGAAGTGTATAAAGCTACAGAAGCAAAGCCAAAAGGCCCTACCCAGCATTCTCTATAGCCACACCCCCTATGAAGACAGGGAAAGAGAAAGAAGACAAAAAAATAATAATAACATTACAGAGAAAGAAAAAAATCTTAAAAGCATGAAAATTATTACAAAAGTTACAAGTGTCAGCATCTCCAAAGAAGGAACCACCACAAAACTTCAGACACCATGAAAAATCTGAGTGTGGTGACACCATCAAAGGATCACACTGGCTCTCCAACCATGGTCCATAACCAAAATGGAAACTCAGAAGAATTGACAAATAAATAATTCAAAGCATGGACTGCAAGGAAGCTCAATGATATCCAAGACAATGTTGAAAATTAAAAGAAACTTCTAAAGCAATCCAGGAGATGAATGGGATTAAACATCTTAAAAAGAAATCAATCAGAGATCCTGGAATTGAAAAACTCACTTAAGAAATTACAAAACAAGACTGAAAGTTTTATCAGCAGACTGGACAAACCAAAAGAAAGAATTTCAAAGCCTGAAGACCGATCTTTCAAATTTACCTGAACAAAAATTTTCAAAAACAGGTTGAAAAATGAAAAAAAGTCTTCAAGAAATATAAGACTATGCAAAGCAGCCAAACCTATAAATTACTGGCATTACTGAGAGAGATGGATAAAAAGAAAACAACCTGGAAAATATATGTGAGGAAATAATTCAAGTTGCTAGAGATATAGACATCCAAATACAAGAAATCTAGAGAACATCACAAGATACCATACAAAATGAACATCACCACAGCATATAGTCACCAGACTGCCCAAGATCAATATTAAAGAAAAAATCTTAAAGGTAGCCAGAGAAAAAGGTCAGATCACATACAAACAGAACCCCATCAGCCTAACAGCAGACTTCTTGGCAGAAACCACACAAGCCAGGAGACATTGAGGGCTTATTTTCAGTATCCTTAAAAGAAAATAAATTTAGCCAAGAAATTTCATATCCACCCAAACTAAGCTTAATAAGCAAAGGAGAAATAAATGTTTTTCAGGCAAGCAAGCATCAAGGGAATTTGTTACCTACAGACCAACCTTACAAGAGATCCTTAAGGGAGTTCTAAACACGGAAATGTAAGAACAACACTTACTACCACAAAAATACATGTACGTAGCTTGCAAACCTTATAAAACAACCACACAAAAGAAATTACAAAGCAACCAGCTAACAACTTCATGATAGGATCAAAATCTCACATATCAATATTAACTATGAGTGTAAATGGTCTAAATGCCCCCACTCAAAAGACACAGAATGGCATATTGGATAAAAAAAACAAAACTCATCCATCTACTGTCTTTAAGAGACCTATTTCAGCTGGGCGCAGTGGCTCACGCCTGTAATCCCAGCACTTTGGGAGGCCGAGGCAGGAGGATCACGAGGTCAGGAGATCGAGACCATCCTGGCTAACACAGTGAAACCCCGTCTTTACTAAAAACACACAAAAAAAAATTAGCCAACCATGGTGGCGGGCGCCTGTATTCCCAGCTACTCAGGAGGCTAAGGCAGGAGAATGGCATGAACCTGGGAGGCAGAGCTTGCAGTGAGCAGAGATCGCGCCACTGCACTCCAGCCTGAATGACAGAGCAAGACTCCGTATCAAAAAAAAAAAAAAAAAAGAGAGACCTATTTCACATATAACACCACTCATAGGCTCATAGTACAGGGTTGGGGAAAGATCTACCACACAGAGAGAACAGAGAAAAAGAGCAGGTGTCACTATTCTTATATCAGATAAAACAAACGATAAACTATCAAGAGTTAAAAAGGACAAAAAATGGCATTGCATAATGAAAAATAGTTCAATTCAACAAGAAAACTTAATTACCTTAAATATATATGCACCCAATAGTAGAGCAATCAGATATATAAAACAACGACTACGAGACGTAGGAACAGACTTAGACAGTCACACAATATTAGTGGTGGATTTCAACACCCCACTGACAGGCATTAGACATGCCATGGAGGCAGAAAACTAACAAATAAATTCTGGACATAAATTCAACACTTGACTAATTGGACCTAATAGACATCTATGGGATACTCCACCCATCAGCCACAGGATACACATTCTTCTCATCTGCACACAAAACATACTCCAAGATCAACCACATGCTTCGCCATAAAGAAAGTCTCAATAAATTCAAAAAATTGAAATCATGCCAACCATATTCTCAGACCACAGTGAAATAAAAATAGAAATCAATACCAAGATGATCTCTCAAAACCATACAATTACATGGAAGTTGAACAACTTGCTCCTGAATGACTTTTGGGTAAACAATGAAATGAAGGCAGAAATTTAAAAATTTTTTGAAATAAATGAAAACAAAGCCACAACATAACCAAAACTCTAGGATACAGCCAAAGCAGTGTTAAGACGAAACTTTAGGCCAGGCACAGTGGCTCATGCCTGTAATCCCAACACTTTAGGAGGTCAAGGTGGGCAGATCACTTGAGAGCAGGAGTTCTGGACCAGCCTGGCCAACATGGTGAAACCCTGTCTTTTCCAAAAATACAAAAAAAAAAAATAGCTAGGCATGATGGTGGGCACCTGTAATCCCAGCTACTCAGGAGGCTGAGGCAGGAGAGTCACTTGAACCTGGGAGGCAGAGGTTGTAGTGAGCTGAGACTGAGCCACTGCACTCCAGCCTGGGTGACAGAGCAGGACTGTCTCAAAAAAAAAGGAAATTTTATAGCACATAGCACTAATGGCCTAAGTCAAAAAGCTAGAAAGATCTAAAATTAACAATCTAACATCACACCTAGAGGAACTAGAAAAACACAAACTATTAACCCCAAAGCTACCAGAAGAAAATAAAAAATAACAAAAATCAGAGCAGAACTAAACAAAACTGAGACCAAAAAAAATCCATACAAAGAACCAGCAAAACGAAAAGCTGGTTATTTGAATGGATAAAGAAGACTGATAGACCACTAGCTAGATTAAAAAAAAAAAATCCACATACAAGCACAATCAGAAATGACAAAGTTGATGATACAACCAATCTCATAGAAATACAAAAGATCCTCAGAGACAATTATGAACACCTCTATGCACACAAACTAGAAAATCTATAGGAAATGGATAAATTCATAGAAACACAAAATCAGGAAGAAATTAAAACCCTGAACAGACCAGGATTGAGCTCCGAAACTGTATACCTGCTTAAATTTGGCAGTGAATTTTTCTGGTCCAGGAATTTTTTTTTTTTTTTTGGTTACCTACTAACCAAAAAAATCCTAGATGAGGTAAATTCACTGCCAAATTCTAGCAGATATACAAAGAAGAGGTGGTAGCAATCCTACTAAAAATATTCAAAAAACTTGAGTACAAGGAACTCCACCCTAACTTATTTTACAAAGCCGGCATCACCCTGATACCAAAACCCAGCAGAGACACAACGAAAAAGAAAACTACAGGCCAATATCCCTGATGAACACAGCTGCAAAAGTCCCCAACAAAATACTAGCAAACCAAATCCAGCAACACATCAAAAAGTTAATTCACGATGATCAAGTAGGCTTCATTTCTGGAATGCGAGGTTGGTTCAACATACACAAATCAATAAATATGATTCAATACAAACAGAATTAAAAACAAAACCATACATTTATCCCAATAGATGTGGAAAAAACTTTCAATAAAATCCAGCATCTCTTCATCATAAAAATCCTCAAGAAACCAGGCATAGAAGGAACATACATCAAAATAATGAGAGCCATCTAGGGTAAACCCACAGCTAACATCATATTAAACAGACAAAAACAGGAAGCATTCCTTTGAGAACTGGAGCAAGAAAAGGGTGCCTACTCTTACCACTCTTATTCAACATAGCACTGGAAGTCCTTGCCAGAGCAATCAGGCAAGAAAAGGGAACAAAAGGCATCCAAATAGGACAAAAAAAATTCAAACTCTCTCTCTTCATGACAATATAATTCTACAACTAGAAAACCCTAAAGACTCCTCCAAAAGGCTCCTGTGACTGATTAAATGACTTCAGTACAGTTTCGGGATATAAAATTGATGTATAAAAATCAGTAGCATTTCCAAACAACAACCTTCAAGTTCATATCCAAATCAAGAAAGCAATTCCTTTTACAATATCCATGCTCAAGGATTGGAAGAATCAATATTATTTTAATGGCCATACTGCCCAAAGCAATCCACAGATTCCATACTATTCCTACAAAACTACGAATGTGATTTTTCACAGAACTAGAAAAAAACTATACTAAAATACATACGGAACCAAAACAAGAGCCCAAATAGGCAAAGCAATCCTAAACAAAAAGAACAAAGCTGGAGTCATCACAATACCCAACTTCAAACTATACTATAAGGCTACAGTGACCAAAACAGCATGGTACTGGTATAAAAACAGACACATGTGTCAATGGAACAAAATAGAGAACCCAGAAACAAAGCCACCTACCTACAGCCCTCTGATCTTTGACAAAGTAGAGAAAAATAAGCAATGGGGAAAGGACTCCCTATTCAATAAATAGTATTGGAATAGCTGGTTAGCCATATGCAGAAGAATGAAACTGGACCCTTACCTTTCACCATACAAAACTTGGCCAAGTGTGGTGGTTGACACCTGTATCCCAACACTTTGGGAGTCTGAGGTGGGTGGATCACGTGAGCCCAGGAATTTGAGACCAGCCTAGGCAACGTGGTGAAACTCTGTCTCTACAAAAAACGCAAAAATCATCTGGGCATGGTGGCACATGCCTGTAATCCCAGCTACCTGGGAGGCCAAGGTGGGAAGATCGCTTCAGATGCAGAGGCAGAGGCTGTAGTGAGCTGTGATCGTGCCACTGCACTCCAACCTGGGAAACAGAGCAATACCCTGTCTCCAAAAAAAAAAAAAAAAACCTTTTAGCTCAAGATGGATTAAAGGTTTAAATGTAAGCCATCGAATTAGAACAATCCTAGAAGAAAAACGAGAAAACACCATTCTGGACATCAGCCTTGGGAAAGAATTTATCACTAAGTCCTCAAAAGCAATTGCAATACAAACAAAAATTGACAAGTGGGACCCAATTAAACTAAGCGCTTAGGTACAAAGAAACTGTCAAGAGAGTAAACAGACAATCTACAGAATGGGAAAATACTGACAAACTGTGCATTTGACAAAGGTCTAATATCCAGAATCTATAAGGAACTTAAACAATTATACAAGCTAAAAACAATCCCATTAAAAAATGGGAAACGCCACAAACAGACACTTCTTAAAAGAAGACATACAAGCAGGCAACAAACATATGAAAAAATGCTTAATTAACATCGCTAATCATCAGCAAAATGCAAATCAAAATAATGAGATACCATCTCAGACCAGTCAGAATAGCTATTACTAAAAAGTCAAAAAACAACTGATTCTGGCAAAGCTGCAGAGAAAAGGTTGGTGGGAATGTAAGTTAGTTCAGCCTCTGTGGAAAGCAGCTTGGAGATTTCTCAAAAAACTTTGAACTACCATTCAACTCAGCAATTTTATTACCGGGTACATATCCAAAATAAAATAAATCATTCTACCAACAACACATGCACTCGTATGTGTATTACAGCACTAATCACAACAGCAAAGACATGAAATCAACCTAGGTTTCTATCAACGGTAGATTGGATAGAGAAAATGTAATACATATACACCAAAGAATACTACACAGCCATAAAAATAAACCAAAATCATGTCCTTTGCAGAAACATGGATGCAGCTGGAGGTCATTATCCTAAGTGAATTAATGCAGGAACAAAATGCCAAATATCACATCTTCTCAGTTATAACTAGGAGCTAAATAATGGGCACTCATAGACATAAAAATGGCAATAATAGACAATGAGGACTACAAGAAGGAGAGAAGGAAGGGGGAAAAGGTTGAAAAACTTAACTATTGAGTGCTATACTCAGTACTTGGGTGACAGGATCAATCATACCTCAAACCTCAGCATCATACAATATACCCATGTAACAAACCTGCACATGTACCCCCTGAATCTAAGATAAAGGTGGGAATTATTAACATAAATACATAATAAATAAAAATAAAAACTGTAACACACTAAGATATTTTAACGTATCAAAAAACTATCCTTGCTATAGCTTAACTCACAAATATCTACGGTTAAAAATCACAATAGGGCTGGGCGCGGTGGCTCACACCTGTAATCCCAGCATTTTGGGAGGCCGAGGTGGGCGGATCACCTGAGGTCAGGAGCTCGAGACCAGCCAGACCAACATGGCAAAACCCTGTCTCTATTAAAAATACAAAATTAGTTGGGTGTGGTGGCACATGCCTGTAATCCCAGCTACTCTGGAGGCTGAGGCAGGAGAATCGCTTCAACCCGAGAGGCAGAAGTTGCAGTGAGCTGAGATGGAGCCATTGCACTCCAGCCTGGGCAACAAGAGCAAAACTCTGTCTCAAAAAAAAAAAAATCACAATAATTTTTTCAAAAGATAAACTCTAGACATTGTCTATGTACTTTCAAATAATGTTTTATTAGGATTAATAACACAAGAAGATCAAAAGAACCTGAAATTATTCTATGAACCTAATAGTTATCCTACAAAAAATTTTTAAATTTTGAACACTTCTAACCAAAGCAGAATCAAACTAGTTTATCTGCTAAACATCAGCAGTAAATTTTGTAAAAGTTAAATGGGCCTATTTTGCTTTTTGACCATAGTTTTGTTCTTATTTAATGCACAAAAAAATACTTTACACATTAAAGGGAGGAAAAATCCTGTAGTGCTTCAATGAAATTTATATATTTATCTAATCATAAAACAATAAATAAATGTTTATTCTCTATTTGGAAATAAAGAAAAGTGTAAGGGAGATAACAAAAATAACCCATGAAGAACAATATTCAAATCTGGAAATATTTTCATGCAATCTATTTGACTATGCTTACATGTTTAAAGAAATAGATATGGATATTTTTGAATTGAAATATACTATGGTATGTACAGTATATTTTCAATGCAGAAAATATAATTCAGGCAAGAGAAACGCCCAAAAAGATAATCTGAATAGTAACATGATTTCAATCTGCTCACAGATATTAAAAATATGATAACAGATCATTAACTAGACTCAAATATTAAAAATTTATAACAATTTAAGCAGGGCATATGATGAGACTGACACTGAGTCAGAAAACACAGTCACTTCTAAGGAAGGATAAGTCTTCCAAGCTGTTGACCTAAGTTCAATATCAGAGCTAATGTTTAAATGATTTCATGGTAGAGAAAAATTTATATTAAATAACTGAATGTGAAAATTTCTGTCATTTGATGAAAATTAAATTGTCATTCCAATTTGGAAATGTTACTGATGACTATGACACAGTTTGGCATGCCTATATTATCTGTCACCAATAAAGACCATCCCCCCTCCAATTTTCTCCACTTGAGACTGTGCTTACACCCCCATTTAACTTTCAGTTAATATGAAACCTTTTCTTAATTCACCTCTGTTTTTTTCATGGTGGCCTTCAAAAATTATGGTTCTAGGCCGGGAGTGGTGGCTCACGCATGTAATCCCAGCACTTTGGGAGGCCAAGATGGGCAGATCACTTGAGGTCAGGAGATCAAGACCAGCCTGGGCAACATGGTGAAACGTGTCTCTACTAAAAATACAAAAATTAGCCAGGCATGGGGGTGGGCGCCTGTAATACCAGCTACTCAGGAGGCTGAGGCAGGACAATCACTTGAACCTGGGAGGTGGAGGTTGAAGTGAGCCGAGATTGCACCACTGCACTCCAGCCTGGGCGACAGAGTGAGACGCTGTCTCAAAAAACAAAAAAATTATGTTACTGTATACTAAGTACCAAGGTAATCATAAACAGGTACTGAAATTATGTATCAATGTCTAGTTTGAATTTTCTGTCTCTCCCCGACCTTCCACCATCTCTCTTTTTAAATCATCGAAAACAAAAATCCATAATTTAAAAAATGTAAATACTGAATTTTTGGACCCAAAGAATACTTTCAAAGAACTCCAATTAGATTGAAGGGAACTATCCATCATTCAAAAATCATTTTAAACTACATAACTAATATAAACATTTAATAAATATTTCTACCCAGTTTAAGTAACTGAACTGAATTTAAATGGGACTAAATCTTCACATTTCTATATACTAGTCCAAATTAGAAATTTTTTATTTCTTCACAGTAATAAATAAAAGACTGAGAAAGTAGCAAAAATTAAAACATACTATAAAAGCAAAATAGGGGGAATAATGATGCTAACATGGAAGTCAGCATTTTCCCTCCATGAAAAAAGACAGGAATAAAACCGAAAAAAATTTTCACTGAAAAATATTTATTGTTGAGAAATTGCTAGAAATTCAGGTAAGAATATCAGGAGTCAGTGGCCTTATTAATGAGACTACTCCTGTCATTACCACCCCAGTTTAGTTGGTAAGAACTGTAGTTTTACCATTTGGGGGCTGGCAGTAAAAAGTAGCACTGTTGCTTTCAAACAGGGCAAACCTATTCAGGGTAAGAAATGAAAACTGCAGTTCTCCAGCTAAAAGTGGCAGACTTGGTTACGAATCAATGGGAGAAACCAGCAGCTTTGCTAGATCAGAGATACAGGCACAATTCAGGGGGAACAGCAGACCAGTTAGATATTTACTAGGGAGATATTAAAAGAGAACCATAGAAAGATTGAGATAAGTACTCCACACAGACATAGCTGATTGAGAAAGTACCTATATCCAGGAGACACCTGGGTCACTAACTGAAAAAGGGAAGGCAAGAGAGACTAGATAAGTAGCCACAACTTTGAATGCAATCCCTAAAAATATACAGATCAACACAGTGGGCCTAAGGGCTGAAGGAATTTTATCAGAACCTGTAGCTAAATCATTGACTGAACTCTAAGATATATAGAAACATGGAAAACCCTAAGAGTGCTATGGAAAGAAAAAGGGAAAAAGTAAAAATACTGGGCAGAGAAAAGTCAGAGCTGTAGACCGTGGAGAAAACACAATCTGCAAACTAAATGAGGCAAATTATTTAAAACCAAACAAAAACCAACAACCATAGAAAAACAAAAAAAGTCTAGAGTTGCCCAGTTTTCAACAAAAATTACTATATATGCAAAAAAACAAAAAAGAGTATAACCCATAATCAGTAAAAGAGCAATAATCAAAAATAACTTGTAAGGTCCAAATGTTAGATTCAGCAAATATTTTTAAGGACTTGTAATAAATTATATTCAATAAATGAAAAAATAGTATGTTCAAATAATTGAATGAAACAGATTAACAATGAGTTCTCAAAAAAGTATAAAAAGACCAAATGGAAATTCTAGAGATAAAAAAGTACCATTTAAAAATCAAGGAATTCACTATAGGCATTCAACAGGAGACTCAGATGGCAAATAAAGAATCTGTGAATTCAAAGATAAATCAATATAAATTATATAGTCTAAAAAACAGAGAAAAAAATGGGAACACAAATTATTCAACCTTTAGACACTGTAGGACAATACAGTGTTCCAACATAGATGTAACAAGAGTTCCAAAAAAAAAAAAAAAAGGCACAGAAAAGAAACATCTGAAGAAATAGGGATAAAATCTTCCAAAATTTAATGACGAAACATTTACTTACAGATTCAAACTCAATAAACCACCGAAGTGAAAGTAACAAAGTGAGTCACCACTAGGCCGGGCACAGTGGCTCATGCCTGTAATCCCAGCACTTAGGCTGAGATGGGCGGGTAATTTGAGGCCAGGCATTCGAGACCAGCCTGACCCACACAGTGAAACCCCATCTCTACTAAAAATACAAAAATTAGCTGAGCACAGTGGTACATGCCTGTAGTCCCAGCTACTTGGGAGGCTGAGGCACGAGAATCACCTGAACCCAGGAGACAGAGGTTGTAGTGAGCCAAGACCATGCCACTGTACTCCATCCTGGGTGACAGAGGGAGACTCTGTCTCAAAAAAAAAAGTGAATCACAACTAAACAAACCACAGTCAAATTGCTGAAATCCAAAGACAATGAAAAAAACCTTAAAAGCATCAAGAGAAAAATGACTGATGACATACAGAGCAACAACAATGCAATTCATTGCTGTCATCTCATCAGAAACAATGGAGTCCACAGGTCAGGGAGATGACAGTCAAGTGCTAACAGAAAGAAAACTGCAATTTAAGTTCTTATATCCAGGATAAGTATCCTCTAAAAATGGAAGCAAATAAAAGTATTCTGAGATGAACAAAGACTGAGAAAATTCATTGCTAGCAAATATGCCTTGTAAGAAATAATAAAGCCCACCAAGATGAAAGAATATACTGTAAAACCACTAATAAAAGATAACCTTTAAGAAGAAAACTAAAATCAACAGGGGAATTTTGATCCAACCAAATGGAGTCAGCCCAATAAAGCCTCTCTGTCCCAAATATTAATAAAATTATAGGGGAAAAAAACACAAAAATCAACTTCCCAAGTACTCTGAAGACTAAACAAAAGCAGGTGCATTGTGTAGGGGAGTTAAAACTTGGAGAATTACTCATATGGATAGAAGAATCATTTTTTTCCTTTCTCTCTTCTGAATCTGCCCCTGTTTCAGGGCTGGATGTCAGAAGCTCGGGTGGCAAAATTCTAAGAAAAACTATGCTTCCAGTTAGAGAAATCTAGAAATTAGGTCCTAGATAGGAGAAGTGTGGGGAAGAATCCTAAATAGCAGAGAGTAAGAGAAAAGGGTTCTCTAAATCTGTGTAAAAACCTGTGATAACCCCAAACTCACCCAAGAGACGCATGGGTGTGGGACAAACCCAAATCAGAATAGACACCTTTCTAAATTTAATTACCATCCAATTCTCAGCCTAATTCCTGAATGAAGCATATGTATGTGAGGAAAATACAAGGCAAACTAGTCTGTCTCCCTGGATCGAAGGGGAAAAACCAAAGAATGAAAGAAAACCCAAAGTAGGGTAAGAGAGGTTTGAAAAATGAAGGGACACTGGAAACATCATGCACAGAGAAGAGGTGGAACTTGCAGCCCCACCCTTACCAGGTTGTCTATTTGCTAAACAACAACAACAAAACATGTGTTAGAGGATTATAACAGGGCCCAGAGTTATGCTCTAATGCATCCAGGACCCACAATATTCAAGACACATTAGAAGATTACGCAACATACAAAGAGCCAAGAAAATGTGACTGTTTCTCATAGGAAAACACAAACAACAGATGTCAATGAGATGAGCAAAATGTTGGACTTATCACACAAAGACTTTAAAGGAGATACTATAATTATGCTTTAGAAAATAAAGGTTAACAAAGTCTAAATGAATTGAAAAAGTTCTCCAAAAAGAAATAATAAATGTTTGAGGTGATGGAGATGCTAACTACCCTGATTTGAATATTATATGTTATATGCATGTATTAATATATCACAATATTGCATATAATATGTACAATTATTGTCAATTTAAAATATTAAAGAAAATAGAGTTCTCATCCAAAAATGAAAGCATAAAAGTGAACCATATTGAAATTTTAGACTTGAAATGCATACTATCTGAAACAAAATATGCAAGAGATGGGTTCAATATCAAAATGTAAAACACAAAGAAAAAGTCCATAAATTTGAAGATCAAGTTTATTATACATATCAAGTTTCTATGCACAAACTACAATCTGAAAAAAAACAAGACTGAAACAAACTAAACAAATGCTTAAGGAGTTGCCTGACTCTATCAGAAGATCTAATACTTATTTCTTTGGAGACCCAAAGTGAAAGGAGAAAGATATAAGTGAAGCAAAAATTGAAAAAATAAGAACCGGCCGGGAGCAGTGGCTCACGGGCCGGGTGTGGTGGCTCACGTCTGTAATCCCAGCACTTTGGGAGGCCGAGGCAGGCAGATGGTCAGGAGATCGAGACCATCCTGGCTAATACGGTGAAACCCTGTCTCTACTAAAAATACAAAAAAATTAGTCAGGCATGCTGGCGGGCGCCTGTAGTCACAGCTACTCAGGAGGCTGAGGCAGGAGAATGGCATGAACCCAGGAGGCGGAGCTTACAGTGAGCCAAGATCGGGCCACTGCACTCCAGTCTGGGCAACAGAGCACGACTCCGTCTCAAAAAAAAAAAAAAAAAAGAAAGAAAAAAAAAAGAACCTACAACTTCTCAAATTTGGTAGTAATCACAAAGAAAACCATAATGAACCTATGAAAGGAGGAAGAGAGAGATGGATGCAGTCAAGTGTGCCTGTAGTCCCAGCTACTGAGGAGACTGAGGCAAGAGAACTGCTTAAGCCCAGGAGTTCCTGGGCAACATAGTAAGACCCCAATTCTAAAAAACAAAAACCTAAAGAAAATGTCTTGAAAGCAAGTGCAGAAATCTAGAACATTATATTTAACAAAGAAAGATTTCAATAACCACAGATTTCTCATTGGAAACCATGGACACCAGCCAACAGAAGAAAAACACAGGAAAGAAAGGAAAGGAAAAAGGTAAGGAAAAAGGAAAGGAAAAAAATGATTACAAACACAGAATTCTACATACAACAAAAATATCCTTGGAGAGTGAAGGTCAAATAAATATATTTTCAGAAGAAATAATTAAAAATTGTTTCTGTCAAAACTGCTCAACAAGTTCTTTTTCAGCAGAAGTTCTTCTAAAGGAAGTTCTTCAAGAATAAACAGCAAAAGAAACTGTAAATACCTGGATAAAAGTAGAAACTTTTTTCTCTCTTCAATTCTTTAAGCTATATATAACTAGTGAAAGTAAAACTTTAAGCTATATATAACTAGTAAAAGTAAAACTTATTAACTGTCTGGAGGCGCTTATGTATATACAGACATAATAAGGACAATTGAGGCAGTTAAAGGGATCTGAGCAGTTCCAAGGGTTCTATACTTTATTTGAAGAGGTAAAATATTAACACTAGGTAGACTGTGAAATTACATACACTGGCATCTCTAGAGCAACCACCAAAAAAGTTACACAAAGAGATAAACTCCAAACTCAAAATATAAATTTTGAGAATATTTTTAAAATTCAAATAAAAACAACATAGAAAAAGAGAAACAAGGAATATATTACACTGGGATAAATAGAAAACAAATAAAATGGTAGATGAAAATAATTACAATATCAATAATTACATTAAACATAAATGGTCTAAACATACTGTAAAAAACCTGACTTTGTCAGACTGGATTAAAATAAATAAAACCTACAACTATTCTGTGTGTATTAGCTAGGTTTTTCCAGAGAAACAGAACCAAGAGGATGTGCAGATAGAGAGAGAGACAGAGATTGATTTCAAGAAGTTTATTCATGCAATTATGGAGGCTTGGTATGTCTCAACTCAGAAGAGTAGACCAGCAAGCTGAAGATGTAGGAAAGAACTGTATTCTCAGTACAAAGGCAGTCAGCCAGCCTAATTTCCTTCATCCCTGGGGCAGGTCAGACTTTGTTTTATTAAGGCCTTCAACTGATTAGATGAGGTCCAGACATATTACAGTGGATAATCTGTTTTACTCAAAGTCCACCAATTTAACCTATTTATGTCTAGTGTTCCATTATTGGAACACTAAGCTTGTGGGAGTTATTTATATCCTACTGCTCAAGGTCATTGCCAAGATTTGATTTTCCACAAAAAAAAAAAAAATTGCAACCTCTGGCATAAATGGCTTAAATGTTAATCTCATCAAAAAAACACTTTCAGGCCAGGTGCAGTGGCTCCTGCCTATAATCCCCTCACTTTAGGAGGCCAAGGCGGGCAGATCATGAGGTCAGGTGATCGAGACCATCCTGGCCAACAAAAATTAGTTGGGAACCAGGCCACACAGCAGGCGGTGAGCACCAGGCCAGCAAGCATTACTGCCTGAGCTCTGCCTCCTGTCATATCAGCTGTGGCATTAGATTCTCATAGGAGTAGAACCCTATTGTAAACTGTGCATACGAGGTATCTAGGTTACATGTTCCCTATGAGAATCAAATGATAAATATAATGCACTTCAATCATCCTGAAACCACCCCCAACCCCAGTTTGTGGAAAAACTGTCTTCCACAAAACCAGTCCCTGGTGCCAAAAAGGCTGGGGACCTCTGTTTTAGAATTTATGGGCCATATCATCTCTGTTACAACTCTTTGACTCTGTTGTTATAGCAGGAAACTAACCATAGGCAATATTTAAGAGAATGAGAGTGGCTGTGGTTATAGCAGGAAAGTAACCACAGACAATATTTAAAATAATGAGAATGACAGTGCCACAACAAAATTTTATTTATAAAGACAAATCATTATAGAAGAGTCAGCCAAAGAAAGCAATAAAAATAAAATAGAAAAAATAAAAATGAATATGATCGAGAGCAATAATGGAAGGGCAGCCATAAACGGGAAGAAGACCTTATCTACTACTACTGTACTAGAAGTAAGTAAACAAGAACGTGCTCTAAAATACACCTTTGGGGAAAAAAGATGGAAGTTGAAATAATTCCCTCCTAATAGGTCTAATGAAGTAGATGAGGCTGTCACTGCTGACAGGAAGAGTTGTAAAAATTTAGAATTGTATCTGAAGGAACAAAGAAATGTTTAACAATGATAGAAGTATAGATCATGAATTTATAATAATTTCAACATACAACACTGCATGACATTTCCCCACCAGCCAAGGTTTAGCTTAGAGTGTGCCTACCTAGACTAATCTAGGATCAGAATTCTCAAAAGCAAATCTAACAGGACAAGGGCAGACGGGAGTTTTTGTTAGAAACCACTTCCAGCAAATAGCCAGGCTAAGAAGGAAGTAAACAATGGCAGATATAGTATGACACACTAGGATTAAAAAAAAGCAAGATCACAGGACAGAAGGTAACTATGAGGCTGAAGAGCATTGGAAAGGGCGATATTAGAAAAAGAGGAGATAGATGGTTTTGATTAAAGAGTAAGATTGGAATTTAAAATTTATGATGTGAAAACATGCCAGTGATAAAAAGGTCTAGGTTTTTAAAACAGGAATGGATAAATTACAAAGAATGGCAGTAAGGGTAGCAAAGTTAAGGAATTAAAAAATTACAAAATGTGAATGTTAAGATGAGTTAGTCACAAGGACAATGAAGTTATTCACATGTAGTGAAACTGAGATAAGACTGTGAACCAAAAATTCACACACTAAGACTAAAAGTATAAAGTATAGACTTTCCTTGCCCAGACTTTCAATAGAATAATTCTTCTTACTAGTTTTTAAATGTCTATGATACTATCTTGCAATTATTTTTTTTTTTAAAAGTGGTAAAATCCTATACAGTAAATCACAAAATACACTAAAGCACATCCACACAAATACAGGTTATATCCACAGAAAATAAGGTTATAAAATTAGATACTCTGGCACCAAAAAGAAAAAAATCTGCCAAGCCTTTACATAAACCCTTAAATCTTTTTTCTGAAATTCAGTTATTAGATAGGAAATGTGTACAAAGAAACAAACAAGTATTTATAAGCCTCGTTTGTTTTGTGTTAATATGGCTATCATACGACCTATCCATTACATTCCTAAGTATGGTATATACTCAAGATAAATGAAAACATATGTCCATACAAATACTTGTACATGAATGTTCATAGCAAGCTTGTTCAAAGTAATAATTATTAGACAGTGGTGAGGGAAAATAAAGAGTACTTTGTTTGACAGCAAAACTATAAATAAATAACAAACTGTAAATTTACCTCTTACAATGCTTAACTTTATGTGTCAACTGGGCTAGGCCATGGTATCAAGATAGTTGGTCAAATATTTTTCTAGATGTTTCTTTGAAGGTATTTTTTGGATGAGATTAACATTTAAATAAGCAGATTTTTTGTATGTGGACCTTATCCAGCTGAAAGCCTAACAGAAAAAAGCCTAACTGCCTTGGAGAAAGAGAAAATTCACTCAGCAGACTGCCTTTGGACTTGAACTGCAACATCAACCCTTCCCTGGGTCTCCAGTCAGCCTGCCTATCCTATGGATTTTGGATTTGCCAGCTTCCACAATTGTGTAAAACAGTTGCTTAAAATAAATCTCTCTCGTGAGTGTGTGCATGGACACCCACGCACACACTATTGGTTCTGTTTCCCTGGAGAACTCTGAAAATAAACCCCTTAAGTATAATGAATAAAGACACTTTTTATCTTATAGAGAATGAACATTAAAAAATACCAAATAAAGAATCTGTTATAGAAGATCAATGTGTGTTTGAGCCTAGGAGTTCAAGACCAGCCTAGGCAACATGGTGAGACTTTGTCTCTACAAAAAACTTTTAAAATAAGCTGGGCATGGTGGCACACGCCTGTAGTCCCAGCTACTCAGGAGACTGAGGAAGGAGGATCCCTTGAGCCCAGGAGGTCAAGGCTGCAGTGACCCGTGATCATACCACTGCACTCCAGTCTGGGTGACAGAGTGAGAACTGTCTCAAAAACAAACAAAAATCCCTGTGTGAATTTATTATAACTAGATAATTAAATTAGTTTCTGTAGCTGATGATTAAGCAAAACTAGTTGCTAAACTTTTCTTGCCCACTTTCTCATTAAACAAAAGATTTTAAACTTCCTTATACGTAAAATAGAGGTATTCTGTTTTTGTTGTTGATGACTGTAATGGACCAAATGTTTGCATACACCCAAAATTCTTATGTTGAAGCCCTATCATTAGTATTTGGAGAGGGAGCCTCTAAGGAAGTAATTAAGGTTAAATGCGGTCCTAAGAGTGGGTCCCTAATCCAATAGGAGTAACGTCATTGTAAGAAGAGACACGAGAGAGCTCACTCATGCTCTCTTTCTCTCTCTGCTACATGACAACACAGCAAGGAAGAGGATGTAGGCAACCCAAGAGGAGAGTCTTCACCAAACACCAACCCGACTGGCATCTTGATCTTAGACTTCCCACCTCCAGAACTGTGAGAAACCAATTTTTGTTGTGTAAGCCATCCAATCTACGGTATTTGATTATGGCAGCCTAAGCACACAAATACAATGTTGAGTCAGAAGTGGGAGGTGGAGGAAGTGACATTTTAAAGGAAGGATAGAGAGCTTGTCTTGGATTTCAATTGAACACTATTTAATACTATCTAGGACCTAAAGATAATTCTGCTAAAGAAGTCAACAATACAGTAGCTCTATAATAGCACTCACCATACAAAATATTGGAATCATTTATCTGTCTTCACAAATCAAATAGTAACAAATAGTAACACAGCCTCTATAATTAAAGATTCATTGAAAAAAAATGCATGATTATAAATGGGTCTTAAATCTTAACTCATTTCATGCTATAAACTCATTTCATATGTAAGTTTAAATAATCCTTTTCATATTTAAGAAGCTTTCAAATATTTCCAAACTAATCCCTTATATGAAATAGATTAAAAACTCTTACCGTAACCCATTCCTTTGGTCAAAAGCAGGAATCATAGAGTTAGGGTGTTCTGACATTAATGCAACAAGCAGCTGTAGGACATCCATTAGATTGTCATCCTATAATCATTTTAGAAATTTTTTTTAAAAAATGAGGAAAAAACAACTTAGTTGAATAATGAATACTTCTGAAATAGAAATTTCAACATTAGAAATATAAGTAGACATATGTGTGATATATACTTATTTTTAACAAATTATGTTCTTTAAATGTAAACATTCACCTCTGTAACTCCAAATATACATAAAATAGCAAACCAATTTCTTTTTTTGTGCGGGGGGGCAGAGTCTCGCTCTCTCACTCAGGCTGGAGCACAGTGGTGTGATCTCAGCTCACTGCAACCTCTGCCTCCCAGGTTGAAGCAATTCTTGTGCATAGCCTCCCTAGTAGCTGGGACTACAGGAGTGCACCACCACATCTGGCTAATTTTTGTATTTTTGGTAGAGACAAGGTTTCACCATGTTGGCCAGGCTGGTCTCGAACTCTTGGCCTTAAGTGATCTGCCTACCTCAGCCTCCCAAAGTGCTGGGATTACAAGTTGAGCCACCGCACCTGACCTCAAAACAATTTCTTTGTTTTTTTGTTTTTTGTTTTTTGTTTTTTGAGACAGAGTCTTGCTGTGTCGCCCAGGCTGGAGTTCAGTGGCACAATCTCGGCTCACTGCAAGCTCTGCATCCCGGGTTCATGCCATTCTCCTGCCTCAGCTTCCCAAGTAGCTGGGACTACAGGTGGCCACCACCACGCCCGGCTAATTTTTTGTATTTTTATTAGAGACGGGGTTTCACCATATTAGCCAGGATGGTCTCGATCTCCTGACCTCGTGATCCACCCGCCTTGGCCTTCCAAAGTGCTGGGATTACAGGCGTGAGTGAGCCACCGCGCCCGGCCTCGAAACAATTTCTTCATCAAAGAAATAAAATACCTTTTATGTTATATTGAATCAAGATTTTGTAAAACATAACCTTTAGAAACAGTATATCCAACATGACTTTTTTTTAAGGAAGGCTTATATATCAAGAAATTGTGGGGAAGGGTTATTCTCTATTACAGAAAAATATATTAGAGCTTCTAAAATGCTACTAAATGTTGCAAATCTGGTGGTAGTGGTAGGGCTAAGATATTATGTATCATTTCTTAAACTTATCTGATCTGGAATGTTTTATTCACTGTGCCTCTCCAGAAACTAGTTCTAAAAGAACACTTTGTGGGAAATGATAACCGGATCATTTTCATATACGGTATTATCTATTGTCCCTATAAAGATAAAGATAACCAATAAATGTTTACTCGGTCAACATACCACTAATATGTGGTAGTATTTGATAACATTTACAGAATACCAGCACAAGAAACGAGTTCTAGACCCCCAAAAAAACTTCATGAAAATCCTTCACTACCTTTGTTGCATATACCAATATGTATGCATATCATTAGAGCCAACTTGGACAATACTGACCCAAAAAGGAAAAGGCAAACAGCTAACAGAGTTTAGTTAACTTGGTTGCCCTGACTCTAGTTTTCCTTCACTGCTTTGGAATTTTTGCTGTGGAAGCTACTTGTATACCGAATTTTCATTAAGTTAAACAGATGATCTGGAGCTAGGACACTGAATCATTGAAAGTGTTATTTAGAGGACCTGAAACTTTCCTAACAATAAGGAATCACTGTGACTTCCAGTTTATCTCATATAAAGTACTTTATTCAGTCCCTTAGGGTTAATAAAAACAAAATCACATATATAGATCACTATGAAATTCACCTGAAAACTTCAAATATTATATTTGGTCAGAAAAATCTAAAAATTAATAGAATTGCCTATTCAAGAGGAAAAAATATCATAATCATTAATGATTTTAAGTCAAATATTACTCAATCACAAAATTTAAGCCATTCTTTTATACCTGAATTAACAAAGAGATCCAATCATTATCCCTCATTTAAAAATTAAAGAAGGCACTACTCCATTCTAAAATATATTTATTAATTCACAAGGTATTAATTATAATATAGGAGTATAAATTATCATTTAAAATGCTGTGATGTATTATATTCCATCAATTCCTAAGTTTTACTAATTATAGGTAAAAATCTAACTAAAAATAGATGATTTAGTTAGATTGCAACTGACATATATTGCATTTTCCTGGTGCTAAAAAATAAAAACAGATATTTCAACCTATTTAATTTTCTTTTTATTTTTTTTTAATTACACTTCAAGTTTTAGGGTACATGTGCACAATGTGCAGGTTTGTTACATATGTATACATGTGCCATGTTGGTGTGCTGCACCCATTAACTCGTCATTTAACATTAGGTATATCTCCAAATGCTATCCCTCCCCGCTACCCCCACCCCACAACAGGCCCCGGTGTGTGATGTTCCCCTTCCTGTGTCCATGTGTTCTCATTGTTCAATTCCCACCTATGAGTGAGAACATGTGGTGTTTGGTTTTTTGTCCTTGCAATAGTTTGCTGAGAATGATGGTTTCCAGCTTCATCCATGTCCCTACAAAGGACATGAACTCATCCTTTTTTATGGCTGCATAGTATTCCATGGTGTATATGTGCCACATTTTCTTAATCCAGTCTATCACTGTTGGACATTTGGGTTGGTTCCAAGTGTTTGCTATTGTGAATAGTGCCGCAATAAACATACGTGTGCATGTGTCTTTATGGTAGCATGATTTATAATCCTTTGGGTATATACCCAGTAATGGGATGGCTGGGTCAAATGGTATTTCTAGTTCTAGATCCCTGAGGAATCGCCACACCGACTTCCACAATGGTTGAACTACTTTACAGTCCCACCAACAGTGTAAAAGTGTTCCTATTTCTCCACATCCTCTCCAGCACCTATTTAATTTTCAACCTCCTTTTCAAACACATAATTTTAAATACCATTATAAATGAGCTGTTTAATATCTGAACATGTAAAGTCAGTAGGAAGATTGTGTTATGAATTTTTAAAACCTAATCATTTTTAGTCATTTTCGTAATCTATTTTTTCATTTGTTACACTGGTTTCTGGAAATACACTGAAAGTATGCTTTGGTATACTTTATTATTAATTCAATGAAATCTAATGTTAGTACTTTTTAAAGCCTTTCATGATGATTCTCAAGATTCATCTTGTGGTAATAAAGGATATTTAAATAAAGATTGCTAGGGCTTAGTTCCTAAGTAGACACATTTACTCCCCATTACAGTTACATAATTACTGAAGATTTCTTTAAATTTTTACTTTTAAAAAAGTCTAATGTAGCTTCAAAAATTAAAATTTCAAAATATAAAATTCATATATTACCTCATGCATAGTCAGTAGGTAATTAAGAATGGCCTGTAATTCATCTTCCTTTACTCCAGAATCCTTCAAAAACATAATACAGGTATCTTACGTTTACATGTAAAAAAATGTTTAAAGAGAAATTATACACATAGATTTGTCAAGTTGGTCAGCTACTATAAATATAAAAATATAATGTAATAGACAATCTAAATTTAAAACAAAAATTTGGGGAAGCACTAAAGACATCAGTACTCCAGAACATGTAGAGGTCAATTAACATCAGCTTCCTGTTTTCAACACCTTATATAATATGACAGCCTACTTACTAAAGCTACAGAATCCTGAAGTCAGCAAAAATAATAAGTAATGATAACTTAAAAAGTAATATCCACACCTACTACTCCTCTAAATACAGAAGACATCTTTTCGACTGAAATTAAATGTGGAGAATACAATGAACAGTTTCTGAAATTATCAAGTTAAAATGTCAAGTACCTAAAAATTAAATAGTAATCTCACTCGGGAAAAGAAAAACACACTGCACTTCTAAATATGAGCTCGTTATGAAAATTTTCAACCTACTCTATCAGTATATTAATCACTAAAAAAGCTGCAATCTAAAAAAAAAAAAACACCACAAGAAGAAAAGAAATTGGAAAACAAAAAACAGTATGCATCAGGAACGAGCAACAAAACAAAGACAATTCAAAGGACACTTTTTTTAATACATGGAAATAAGGTATCTGAATCTGAAAGGTATACTAAAAGTTAGGTTCACTTGCCATAATCTTATGTGACAACTAATAAAGCATTATAAAATCATATAGGAAAATACTGAAAAAATATTGGTAACAATTACATTTATATATTGCTATCTTATAAAACCAAAATGCCTTTTTTAGAATATTAAATTTTACTTTACCTGTAATAGAATGAAAAGGGACAAAATGTGACCACTTCTAAAGGCTCATACACCTACCTGGTACATTTATACAGAAATACTATTTCTCAAAATCTGAATGTCAGTTACAAGGAGCCTGCTAAAAATGAAACCTCCTTCAGGAGTTTAGTGCCAAATACTAACAGAAACATAGTAAATATTTGCTGAATGAGTGAACACACTTGAGCTACTATACAAATTTATATAACATAAAATACAACTACCAATCCCTAATTCTGCAATAATTTACATCCATATAGGCTCCAAAAAAGAACCAAAACAAACATGGAAATATCTTTCAAAGTATTTTCCAATGTGTAACCACAGTAACCAAGCAAAGAATAAAAAAACCAAGATTGTATTTCATGTGAAATTATAACCTTCAATACACGGTATGCTATGGAATAAGCAACGTGAACTCACCTTCATCACTAATTGCTTAATGAACATCAACAAGAATGCTCGTAGAGAAAGCATTTCTTTTTGATTAGGTCGCGGTCCATCTTTTAAAAAAATATACACATACACATTTAGTATTTAAAGGACCTCAAAGCTGTCAAAGTATAAAATTCTCATTCCCAACAGCTTTTCCATGTGTTTGTAAGAAATATAAAGGTAGGTCTCCTACAGAATGACCTTTTATGCCTCTAGAAAGACAAGTGTTTAATCTTACATGCACTGTATACACAATATTTCAAACATACAAACAGGTTATGTTGAAACTACTATGAAGAAGTTTGTACTTTGAATAGGTCAAAGAATGTCCAAAACATAAAAATGAGGTAACAAATAAAATTTGTATTCAATAATAATATACGTATTTTAAGACTCTGAGAGTATTAGTAAGGTAACAGAAGTTTACAAAGAAAAAAACAAAGGAAAATCTAAACTTTCAACATTATTATTATATGTGAATTCAGTATGACAAAATTTTTCTACTGTTATCATTATATAAGCTAATACAGAAATCTCAAAAAGAATGCCTCACTACACGATATCATTCATGAAGAAGGGAAATATTATGTTAACTGCCTCTGACATCTCCTTCTCTGCTTAGAAAAGTCCTTGGTCACACATGGCTCACATTAAATCAATTTTCATGTCTCAAACATATAATTCCCAAGTAGAAAGCTTTTGAAACCAAACACTCATTGTTCTAAGATCCTAAGTTAGGGACCTGTTTTCTCATATATTTTATAATTTTTCCACCACTAATCACTATTTATAGATAGTTCTTAGACCACCAAAGCATAGGACCACCATGACTTTGAACAGATCAATGAAAATAGGAAGAAAATTGTTTAAAATTTGTTCCATGTGATTCCTAGACAAAAAAAAATAATAAGACTAGAGTTAGAAGAGGATCACAAAATTTGTCCAGCTCTCTCATTTGAAGAATGAGACTTTCCCAAGGTCACTAATCAGTTATAAAAGGCAGGCGAGAATACAAAACTAGCACCTAGGACAGTACATGATACACCTACAGCACCATGAAATAGTCATGAGAAAATTCTGACCCGGTTCTGGATCTGCCACAACCTTGCCAGCTTAAAAAGTTCATAGCTTGCTAAATTATAGGTACCAGATTCTCTGAGGCTAAACCAAGCTTATTTTGAAAGTGATATAAAAAGTAGTATGCAAATTGAAAATCTTTGTAAATCACTAAACAACCAAAGCCTCTTACTGCAATCAGAATGTATGTTATTGACTCCCCAGCATCTATTTCTTAATTTCAAGCAACAGCTCTTAATTTTTACCAAGTGACTGAAGTCATCTTCACTTTCAGACAATGTCTTTCAACTTAGGGGATGCCTCCATTTCTAAGCAATCAGGGCAACTACAACCACAAAAATGGGCACATGATACAATCAAAGCCAATGAGCAACAGAGAGACTAAAAGAGACTTTCACTGGAAATACATTATATAGGCAGATGCTCTTACACTGAATTTAAGTTGTTACGGATGTGAAAGGGGACCGGCTGCTTGCTACTACAAAGGAAGCGAATATGTGAAAACAGCCAACACAGAAGAATTGGCAAGTGCAGTGAGACAAATTCAGTCCTATGGTCATACTCAGAATACCTTTATCAAGTTGTATCTGGAACTGCCAGTTTATATGAGCTGATTACCTCCCTTTTTGATGTAAGCCAGTTCCAAGGAGACTGTTATAGTTACAACCAAAAGAGCCACTATATGTCAAAAGTTTTATTTTGACCCCTTATATGAACTGCTAGACATGATGAATGAATATTACCCTTTCAGCAAGTTAGTCCTCATTATGTAAGAAAATAATTGCTAACATTTTGTAATTTCATTATCTCTTTAAGAGAAGCAGATAACTCCTACTTCTGCAAGAAACCACCATATTCCCAAAACACCATTTTCAAGGAATCTCATTGTGACAATCCATCTCAGCATCAATTACTAAAAACTAATTAAGAATTTCTTGGCATTTTCAGTGTCTTACAACAACCATCCTAGTCATATTAGCTCCCCAAACAACTCACACCAGCACAAGTAGTATTCTTCCACACAAGTAGCAAGTTATTAAACTCTAGAAACCACAATTTAGGACAAACTATTAACATTATCAATGAGATTAAAATAAAATTTTGCCATAATGGAATATAGAAAAACTGCCCAAATATATGATAGTACTGGTTAAAACAAAAAGAAAAATTAAATCCTGATTTGCATTTGTGTAAAGTAATATACAGACAGAAATTATATACCTAATCCTTTTGGGGTGATACCACTTCGATCCTGAGGATTCACTGCCCAGTAGTAGTACTTCAGCGTGTGCATGATGAGAAGCACTGTTCCAACTCTCCGAATGGTGTTATATATGTTGACTGTACCAATGAATTCCGTGGACAGATAAGTATAGAGCATCAGTTGAACCTACAGAATAAAAATGAAGAACTTAGAGAACCCCACCAGCATTTTATCTGTTTCCAGTAACACTTCCAGGCTGTTTTATTTTCACCACGCTTCTTCCAAAAAGTAAGATGCTGAGCCTGATAATAATATCCATATTAGACAACACATACTCACTGACACACAAGCACATGCACACACACTCCTTATAAAACCAAACCAGGTAATTTCTTCTTTTATAGCAGCATTATCAAATATGGAAACTTTTTGCTGCATTATTCCATGAAAATAACTTTGTGATTCCTATTTAGCAATCAGCAATTATTCCTAAGCATGTGTAACTTCTTTATAATAGACTTATTACTTATGCTATCTATGCATAGTTGTTTGAAAAAGCTAGAATTTCTTTCAAATACAACATTTGCAGAAAATCAGGAGCTAAAATGACTCAAAAGAAAAAGTACTAGTAACTCAAAAGGAAAAAATAAATAGAACAAAACCAAAAGAAAGAAAACCACAGAAAAAGATATAGAGTTTACCTTGAAGAATATTAGAAAAACAGAATTCTATTACAGTAGCTCATTACAAGAAACATTCCAATCTAGCATTTTAATCATAACATTATAATCTCTCAACATGTATATCATGTCCCCCAATTAGGAAAGGATTCTACTAATCTCATTGAAAGTAAATAGTCTAAAAAAATACATAAGAAGTTATATATGTTTATATTAACTTCGAAATATCTCCTCTTCATATGTAAGAGAAAGAAATAATACAAGTGCTACCCCACCACTGCACATTTCATCTTAACAAAAAATTGGCCCACCCCAGTGATTCACGCCTGTAATTTCAGCATGTTAGGAGGCTGAGGCGGGCAGATCACTTGAGGTCAGGAGTTTAAAACCAGCCTGGCCAACATCGTGAAACTTCGTCTCTACCAAAAAATACAAAAATTAGCCGGGCGTGATGGTACACACCTGTAGTCCCAGGTACTCAGGAGACTGAGGCAAGAGAATCGCTTGAACCCAGGAGGTAGAGAGTGCAGTAAGCCGAGAGAGCACCACTGCACTCCAGCCTGGGCAACAGAGACCCTGCCTCAAAAAAAACAAATTTTTTTTCAGTGAAATTATGGGTCTGAAACTCATCAACTATAATCCATTACTTAAAGCAGCAAAAATAACGACTGCTTTTGCTCTACTCTCATGTTGAAATCAATTCATTTTATTGCTAGAGGGTATATTTTATAAGCTGAACAACTGTAAGTATAGGATATATATTCTTCCCTTGACCATAGACCAAACTACTGATCATTTATAACTGAACCTTTATGTTACCTTCCTGGACAATGAGGGCATTTTCCTTTTCAAACCTGCAAGGTACCTCAGTGTCACCTAGGGATTTCTTTAGAGAGCAAAAAGTAGGTACCTATCTTCCAGGTGCCCTGCAAATAAACAATCAAGGCTAAATGAATTAGAGTGTCAGTGAATAAATCTAACATGCTAAAAAGTGGCAGGTTCTGAACCACTTAAAAGCAGGGCTTGGAAGATCATTATAATTCACAAAACCATATATGTATCTATACACATACAATACATTGTGATCTACTGACCTGCCGCAAAATGTTATTTTGATGTAGCTACTGCTGTTCAAATTGATAGGCCCAATCCACTTGTCATTGAGACAATACGACATGCCTCAAATTCTTAACCATGTTATTTCAGTCTCTTAGCAAATATTTACATCTAACTATATGCATAACACTGTATCATGGAAATACAGTGGCACATATGCTGTCCCTAAGTAGCTGAAATACAGTTGAAAAGATTAAAAAAACACTTATATTTAAGCAAAACAAATCAAAGACAATAAATATGCCTACCAAAACATGAAAAAAGTCATGAAGCAATATGTAATTGAGTGACATAGAGCTATGAAATATTATTAATTCAGAGGACAGATAAATTATTATAGGATAAACTGAAATAGTAAAGAAAAGCTTCACTAATAAAGTAGGCATTAAGATAGGCTTTGAAGATGAGTAGTAGAATAGACAGACAGAATACAAGAGGAAATTTCAAGCTAGAAAAATGATGGTTGAAATAAAGGTTTCCCTAGAGTTAGAACAACAGTTCTCAATCTTGACTGCACATTAAAATAACTGAAAAACTTTTCTTTTTTTTTAATACTGATGCCTGAGTCCCATCCCAGTGAGGCAGGAGAATAGGGTCTGGAGGCAGCGAACCTAAGGACTTCCTAGAACTAAATCAAATGGAAATGCTACAGCTATGACAGGAAATATCCTCTCCATTTACATAGGGCATACACCGAGTAAATGACTTTGTAACTTTACTGTATCCTCTTCATTTACATAGGGCATACACCAAGCAACCAATGGAAACCTCTAAAGGTTATTTAAACCCCAGAAAATTCTGTAACAGGGCTCTTGAGCCCCTACGCTCAGGCCTGCTCCCACAGTGTGGAGTGTACTTTCATTTTCAATAAACTTCTGCTTTTGTTCCTTCATTCTTCCCTTGCTTTGTGCATTTTGTCCAATCCTTTGTTCAAGACACCAAGAACCTGGACACTCTCCACGGATAACACCAGATTGATGAAATCAGAATCTGCAGTGGAAGTGGTGGGATTCTATTTTTGCTTGTTTTTAAAAACCTACCCCAACTGATTCTATCAGCAGTCAAGACTGAGAACCACCACTGTAGGGAAACCTTTTGGTACCTCCCTATCCACTGAGGATATTTCCATTTTTAAGCTAGAAAATCTAGAAATAAGAATTGACATGAAATCCTTAGATAAAGGACTAACTACTTCGTTCTGAGAACAATGGGAAACCATTAAAACTGCTGGGGCTAAGAAATTATAAGAGTCATATGTTAGGAAAATATTGGCGTTGGGCATGGTAGCTCAAGACTGTAATCCCAACACTTTCTGGGGCTGAGAGAGGAGGATTGCTTGAGGCCGGAAGTTCGAGACCAGCCTAAACAACAAAGCAAGACCCTAGTCTCTACAAAAAAATTTAAAGAGTTAGCTGGGAATGGTGGCGCACACCTGCAGTATCAGCTACTCAGGAGGCTGAGGCAGGAGGACTGATTGAGCCCAGGAGTTTAAGGTCGCACTGAGCCATGGCCATGAAAAGAACATGTTGGAATTCTGGCAGAATAGTTATAAGTTAGACAAAGAAATGGAAAACTGGAGAAAGTCAGTCTATTGAGAATGATACTGTGGTAAAAGAAAAATGAACAGAGGCTGGGCCTGATGGCTCACACCTGTGATCCCAGCACTCTTGGGGGGCTGAGGCAGGTAGATCACTTGAGCCCAGGAGTTCGAGACCAGCCTGGGCAACATGGCAAAACATCATCTCTACAAAAAAATACAAAAATTAGCTGTGTGTGGTGGTACACAGCTACAGTCCCAACTACTCAGGAGGCTGAGATGGGAGGATCACCTGAGCTGGGGAGGCAGAAGTTACAGTGAGCTGAGATCCCACCTTAGTGACACAGTGAGACCCTGCGTCAAAAAAATAAGTAAACAGAATTTAGTAGCAACGTATAGAGATGAATGAAAGACCTCAAGATTACTCATATGCTAATTATGAATAAACCTTCCCTCATTCACTCATTATGTACTCCAATAGCCACACAAATTGTGTGTTAACATCTGTCTTTCCCACTAAATCTAAATTCTATGAGGGCAAGTATCAAGTCTATCTTGTTCATCACCATATCCACAGTGCCCACCATAAAGTAGTCACTCAACAAATATTTGTTGAGTAAATGAAGGACCATGGTAGACAAGAAAATTCATCTCTCCTGCTAGGTCATTAAAAAGATGTTCTCTGAACAGATCTAAGATAAATGGAAATTATAAATCGCTGGTAGCTCCCTTTTCCAAAAGCAAAGCTTTTCACATCCACACATCCAGACCTTCAACTTTTAACCAGAGGTGGATTGACCACGAAGCTGATAAAGCTTCAACTTTATGACCACTGATCTATAAATGTTTCTTCCAAGACCCTAAACCTAATTTTGTATGCATTATATTGTATTCTTCTTCTTAAAAAATTTCCCACATGATAAACATTTGACCTTCAAGTCAAACAAAATTTGGATCTGCCCTTTTTTATGACTGTCTTTACAATAAAATAAAAGCAGATAAAACCCCTTGTGGATACATAAAGCAGATGGCTAAAACAGGAGAAAATGCTAATATTATCAACTCAACTGCAAATTCTAAAAAGGAAATTGAGAAAAGTTATTAAAAAGTAGAAGATAAGAAATAGAGTATAATAATACTAGGAAACTAAGAAAATCATAAGATGAATTTTTTTTAATTCCCCTCCAACTAAGTATCTAATAAGAGGCTTTCTGACCACATCAAAAGAGACACAAAGCCTTACAAATATGCTGATTAGTAAGACAAAAAAGTATCTAGTAAAAGATTTTAAAAGTAACTTGAAACAATCCTCAAAAAGAAGTAAGACTGAGGGTCATGGAAGAAAATGAGGTCAAATTTGACCTGGAGATAAAAAGCTACAACCTCCAACTGCCTGTTTCGATTATTTCCAAATGGCAATCAGAGTCAGCAGCTGTTTTTCTCTTTAACATTTGAAAAGACCAGCTGAAAATAAAATATTAAGACTCTAGAAAAGCAAAAAAGTCTGCAGACTTTTTTCTGACAACTAGAATAAGTAGGTGCTATTCCAACTTAAACAATGATAAACACTGCAAGTGGGCCAAAAGGCAGAAGGGGAGAGAGGAAAACTGGGCTTGAAATAACACGACTTCTAACAAAAATTGTAGATAAGACGGATACAATTATGCAATTTAATAAAATGATCTGTTTCAAGTTATGCTTAATACTGCCACTACTGAATTTTTAGGACAATGTATTACAACACTAGGATTTATTAAAGATTTTGTTCATATACCTTACCACAAATTCATTTACATTCACATAGAACTAATTGGTTTGTTGTTACAAAACTGAAAAAAAAAATTTGTACAAATGTTTTCATAATTTGAATTAACGTGAAATTAAAATGATTACGAGACTAGTATATCATGCCTTCAAAGAAAAAGTGACATTTCAGTGGTACCTATAAGAATGAAACTCAGTAGTTCATCATGTTGGAAGGCAAAAGTGTGAAGTAAAAAAGAGAGAGAGCAGGAGCAGGGTGAGTTCTTAAGAAATAAAAAAAAAAGAAAAAATATATATGGATATTTACAATGGAACAAAGCTACAGTTACTAGGAAACATTAATAATTACATTAAAACTGTCTAACTTTGATTTATATTTAGTAAATGAAGTCTCTCCCAAATAAAACTTTATTTCATTTAATTTCAGAAAACAAAGACTATACCTGTATCTTTTAAAATAATGATATTGTTTACAAAGAATATATTCTTTGTATGTATGTATATATTATTTGTATATATTCATACACACACACACACAATTTGCAATTTTTCCTGAAGAGTAAAAAAGGATGCTTAGTCAAAAAAAGCAATCCACTGAAGTCTTGCATAATAGTACATAAAAAAAAGAAAATCCTCTTAATTATCACTCTCCTCACGCACAAAAACAGCAAAGATAGTAAAACAATATCAATATATAGATATATATTACCTTGGCTGGGGTATGAATCCATATGGCAGGATTAAGAAGAACGTGATCACACAATTGCTTGAGCAGGGGCATCCCATTCTGCAGATTACTCAGATATTTTGAAAATGCAAGGCAAAGTTCAAGTACTGCTCTGCTAACATGAGATTTGGAAGACTGCAAAAAAAGTAGTTCAAATGTTACCACAAATTCAAGTCAAAGTAAGTGAATTACAGGCTGTCCCTACCAGGAAAAAAACTGGCCCACAAATTATGCTCAAAGTTAAAGATGCCATGAAGCTCACTATCACATTTGTTTGATAGAGGAATGGAGGCAAGGTAAAACAACAAAATGTTATTTTAGTTTAGGTAATTTTCTGTAACCAAGGAGACATTCTTGCAGACAGAATTCCTTAGCCACTTAGAGAACAAATGTATGGCCTGTAAATTAAGAATCAAAAACATAAAATATTTCATACTTTACCTTTTCAAGGCTATATCCTATTACCAAGAAGCCCTTACAGGCAAGCATCTGTTCCTGCATAGCAATTGAGTTCTTCAACAATTCCATGATAAAGGCCAGCAAGGTTGAACTAGAATTTTTTAAAAAGGCGATGATTAAAAAAACATATTCTATTTTTTTTAAATTAGGTTAGATAGATGTAACCCTTCCATTCACCTTAATAAAAAGTTCTCCATTTCAAAGAAATTGAAGCTCCACTAAAACTGCTTCCAACATTACATCAGAACTAGATTTTTAATGTAGGATTAGGAGTTACTCAGATATTTATTTCATATACTTTATCTCAAACACATTGATAGGTGAATTACTTAGAAACAATGACAAATGTTCATGATATAGAGAAAAATGAGCAACTTCCAAAAACAACCAATAACAAATACTTATTAAAAATACACTAAGGCCTTAAAGAACAGATATAACTTAGATAAGCAAGTATATTCAACTTTGAAGCGTTAGGGGCCAAAAGGTGAGAAAAGACAGTGGAGCAAACAGAGTAAGGTGTAAATCCTCAAAATGTGTTAGGGCTCCAGACTTGCATAGTCTGAATGGAGCAGAGGGCACATGAAGAGAAAGATGAGACAGTTAACTTGGAGGCAAACTTGAGCTCCTTGAACACTAATTTAAGAAGTTTGTTCATTATCCCAACAACAAAATTGTAATTCTCCAGTCAGTCTCGAACACTTTTAAAACTGAATAGGGGCTACAGCCATGCTCTACTACCTACAATTTTTAAAGATCCCCGGAAAGGAAAGGAAAAAGATCAGTTGTTACTGCCTTCTCAGAGAGAAGTCCCACAAAACAAAAAAAAAGAGAGAGAGAGAGAAAGCATGACCAGCAGCCAATCTCCTCCTCCACATCAGTGCTTTCACTGCCAGCAATTTCAATACGGGGGGAGGGGGGAGGGAGAGGGAGAGGGGAGGGAGGGAAGAGAGAAGGGGGGGAGAGGGGAGGGAGGGAGGAGAGAAGTGGGGGAGAGGGGGAAGGGAGGGAGGGGGCAGAGAGGGGAGGAAGGGGAAGGGGGAGGGAAGGAAGGGAGGGAGGGAGGAAAACTGTAAGTAAACCCTGTTAGAACACAGCACAAAACAATTCCATAAAGTATTAATATGTCAGGGTAATTTAATTTTATATTTTTTAAAATATAAGTTGACAAATACTAGATTTGATAACTTTTTATTTTTAAAAAAATTGTTGCCTGAAAATAATGAGGACAATTACCATTATTATACACACTGGTGGCAGACATCAAGTTATGTATAAAAGCAAAAATCAAAGGGAGAATTTCAAAATGAGAGAATGTAAAAGTATTTAAATTTCTCAAGTAACAAATGAAACAATAATTTCAATACAAATGAAACAATAATTTCACTATACATTGTTTCACTAGAATATATAGCCATGAGAAATTGAGACTCCTTTCCTACATTTTATGACTTACCCTATAACTTATATCCCTTTCTTTTTTAGACTCAGGACTACAACACAAGAGACAAAAATGTGCTAAATGTACAATCTAATTTTTTTCAAAAAGACTAATTCACTTCGATAACACTATTAAAATTTTGACTTCCAATTACATAAATGCAATCAGTAATAAATAATTAAAATATGAAAAGTTAAGTTCCATAATAAATCATTACCAAATAATTTTAAATATTTCAGAAATTAAAAATTTCTTATTGCATTCTGAGTAATGGGTAGTAAAAAAAATTTTTAATTTAGACAAAAAAATGTATTTATTTTTGAGTAACCCATTATTGCCATTTATAATGTTATTCTAAAACCAATTTATTGTGTTTCTTACAGCTTCCATATTTCCTACTGATAAACAAGAACTTAAGTTAATACTGACATAATTAATATGGACTTGTAATACAGTTTATAGTTCACAAGTTTAAATTATTTTGACACAACAAAACCTGAAAGGCAAAATATTGTATAGCTCAACAGTGATGAAATTAACCCTCACAGCCAATTAAAGAAACAAATAAAGGCACTCACCATATAGTCAAATCAATCTCATCAGACAAATATTGCCTGTAATCCAACTGTGCAAAAAGTGGAAATAGTACTTGTACTCCTCCAATTGAATGCATTGCACTTTGGATGGAATGTGTTAAAACTGCCTTTACATCCTTGTAAGATCAAAAACACAGTAAAGAGTTCAATGATTTTTTTTCCAAAACAATTAAAAATAAGGCACAACAATAAATGCAGAAACACTATAAACGTGACATTCCATGTGTTTAACAGAAGCTACCAAATACATCTCAATAACACATCAAAAATTACCATTATAAATGTTCTTAAAAGATCACAGTTAGTACCTGGAGCATGAGTGCATGTGGTGAATGAACAAAAATTGAAGGGTTGTCCTTAGGAGATGATTCAAGACAAAGCTGGGCATCTGTAGCCCGTGGATTGTACGTGAATGCAATGGCACTAGAGAGTTTCCCATCGTACAATAAAAGTTTGTGATGCTCAGCAAGGAAAAGGTCGCTTTCTGCTTTGAATTTAAATGTACCCTAAGAATTAATTAAAAACAGTTAAATAGTATGCCACAAAGAGAATCTAAGTACAAATCAACACAGGTGTAAAACTTTAAGGAGACAGACCATTGATAATCTTTTAACAGTATTATATAAGAGGACCCCTCGTTTACTTCTAAAATTGGCTGAATTTAAAGATATAATGGAAATCAAGTCAACTTGACATTAAAACCTTACCTTAAAAATGTAGAAGTGACCAATAGATCATATTTTATCTTTTTTCGTATATTCTTTTTTTAAAATTGTGATCAAAAGCATATAATATACAACTTACCATCTTAAGTATTTTTAAGTGTATAATTGAGAAACATTAACTGTATTCATATTGTTCAACAGCAAATCTCTAGAACTTTTATATCTTGCAAAACTGAAACTCTGTAGCCATTTAACAACTCCCCATTTCCTGCTCCCCACCAGCCCGACTATCACAATTCTACTTTCTGTTTCTATGAGTTGGACTCTTAGATACCTCGTATAAGTGGAATCATACAGTATTTGTCTTTTTGTGACCCAAGCATTTCATTTAGCACAATGTCTTCACAGTTCCTCCATGTTTTAGCTGATGACAGGATTTCCTTGTTTTTTAAGGTTGAATATGGTCCCGTGTGTTTATGTGTGTTGTCTGTCACATTTTCTTTATCCATTCATCTGCTACTGGACATGTGGGTTACTTCTATCTCTGGGTTATCGAGAATATTACTATGAACATGGATGGGCAAATATCTCCTTGTGACCCTATTTTTTGTGTGCAAATACGTCTCTGTGATCCTCTTTTCAATTATTTTGTATATATCCCATAAGTGAGATTACTGGATCACATGGAAGTTCTATTTTTAATTTTTTGAGGAACCTCATATTGTTGTCCATAGCAGCTGCACCATTTTTCATTCCCCTCAACAGTGCACAAAGGTACCAATTTCTCCACATTCTCACCAACACTTGTTATTTTGTTTTCTTTTTTAAGTAGTCATCCTAAATGATGAGGCAATAGCTCGCTGTAGTTTAAATTAGCATTTTTCTAATGTCTAGTGATATTGAGCATCTTTTCATATGTTCATTGGCTATTTTTATATCTTCTTTAAAGAAATGTCTACTCAACTCTTTTATGCATTTTTAATTGTTTTGTTATTGTTGTTGTTGTTGAGTTACAGGATTCATATATTCTGGATATTAACTCCTTATCAGATATATGATTGCTAAATATTTTCTCTCACTCTGTAGGTTACCTTTCCACTCTGCTGGATATTTCCTCTGATGCGCAGAACTTTATAACTTTGACAACATCTTATTTGTCTGTTTTGGCTTTGGTTGCCTGTACTTTCGGTATCACAGTCAAGAAATCACTGCCAAATTCAATGTCGTAAAGCTTTTCCCTTGTGTATTCTTTTAGGAGTTTTATAGTTTTACATCTTACTTTTAGGTCTTTAATCCATTTTCAGCTCATTTTTATATACAATGTACAATATGAATTAAGTATAAAACTTTTCTTTCTTATTTTTCGCATCTGGATATCCAGTTTTCCCAACATCATGTGTTGAACACATTGTCCTTTCCCCAGTATGTGGCCTTGCCTCACTTGTCAAAGATCATTTGACCGTATATGCAAAAGTTTATTTCCGGACACTCTATTGTGTTCCCTTGGCCTATGTGTCTAAGCAAGTCTAACGTTGTTTTCATTATGTATCATAGCCTTGTAATAAATTTTGAAACCCTGAAGTGTAAAGCCTGCAACTTTGTTCCCCTTTTTAAATACTGTTTTGGCTTCTGAGAATCCCTTGAGATTCCACATTAATTTTAGAATTGTGCTTCTATTTATGCAAAAAATGCCATTGGGATTTTGATAAGAACTGTACTGAATCTGTAGATTGCTTTAGGTAGTATGGATTTTTAGCATATTAAATCTTCCAAGGGATGTCTTTACATTTGTTTCGGTCTCTTAAATTTTGTCAGCAACATTTTGTACTTTTCAATGTACAACTCTTTTGCCTCCTTGGTGGAGTCAGGGTACAGCTCTTTTGCCACCTTGGTTGAGTTTATTTCTAAGTATTTTATCCTTGTTGATGCTATTGTAAAAGAAATTGTTTGCGTAATTTTCAAACTGTTCATTACTACTTCATTATTACTAATAGAAACACAATTGATTTGTGTGTATTGATTTTGTGCCTTGGAACTCTGCAGAATTCATTTACTAGTCCTAACAGTTTTCAGTGAAATCTTTAAGGATTTTTAGATATAAGGTCATGCCATACGCCAACAGATGATTTTACCTCTTCCCTTCCAATTTAGATGCCTTTTCTTTTTCTTGCCAAATTGCTCTAACTGGATTTCCAAATACTATGTTGAATAGAAATGGAAAGAATAAGCATCCTTGCTTTGTTCCTGATTTTAGAGGAAAAACTGTCAGTTTTTCACTGTTCAGTATTGTGTCAGTCATGGGCTTTTCATATACAATATTTTATTATGTTGAGGTAGTTTCCTTCTATTCATAGATTGTTGAGTGTTTTAGGTTTTTTTTAAATCAAGAAAGAGTGTTGAATTTTGTCAAATCCTTTTCTGTATCAGTTGATATATGATCATATGGATTTTGTAATTCACTGTTAGTGTGGTACATTGCATTGACTGATTTCCATGTTGAACCATCTTTGCATTCCAGAAATAAATCGTAATTTGACATTGTGTATAATTCTTTTAATGTGCTGTTAAATTCAATTTCTTAGTATTTTATTGAAGATTTTTCCATCAATATTCATCAGGGATATTAGTCTATAGTTTTCTTTCTTGTACTATCTTGATCTGGCTTTGGTATCAGGGTAACACTGGCCTCATAAAATCAGTTTGAAAATGTTCCCTACTCTTAAAATTTTTGTAAATTTGAGGAGAATTGGCATTAATTCTTCTTTAGATGACTGAGAGCATTCTCCAGTGAAGCCATCTAGTCCCTGGCTTTCTTTGTTGAAAAGTTTTTTATTATTGATTCAATCTCCTTACTAGCTATAGGTCTTTTCGGATTTTTTAAATTTATTTTTGATTCAGTCTCAGTAGGATGTATATTTCTAGAAAATTGTCCATTTCTTCTAAATTATCCGATTTGTTGGCATATACTTTTCATAGCATTCTCTTATAATTCTTTCTATTTCTGTGGCAAGTTATAATGCCTCCTCCTTAATTTCTGATTTTACTTATTTATGTGCTCTTCTTTTTTCCTTAGCCTATGTAAGAATTTGTCAATTTTGCTGATGTTTAATTAAAAAAAAAACTGTTAGTTTCACTGATTTTTTTCTCACTGCTTTTCTATTTTCTATTCCAGGGGTCCCTAACCAGGTATATGACCTGTTAGGAACAACAGCAAGAAGTGAGCGGTGGGCAAGCAAGCAAAGCTTCATCTGTATTTACAGCCACTCCCTACCACTCACATTACTGCCTGAGCTCCACCTCCTGTCAGATCAGATTTTTATAGAAGGGTGAACCCTATTGTGAACTGCACATGCAAGGGATCTAGATTGTGTGCTCCTTATGAGAATATAATACCTGATAATCTGTCACTGTCTCCCATCACCCCCGGATGGAACCGTCTAGTTGCAGAAAACAAGCTCTGCTTTGTTTCCCACTGATTCTACATTATGGTGAGTCGTATAATTATTTCATTATATATTACAATGTAATAATAACAGAAATAAAGTGCACAATAAATGTAATGCACTTGAATCATCCCGAAACCATCCCTGCTGCGCCCCCACCACCCGTGGTCCATGGAAAAACTGTCTTCCATGAAACTGGTCCCTGGGACCAAAAAGGTTGGGGACTGCTGCTCTATTTCATTTATTTCTGCTCGGATTTTTATCATTTCCTTCTATCTGCTAACGTTAACTTTATTTGTTGTTCTTTTTCCAGTTCCATGTTGTATAAATTAGGTTGCTGATCTGAGATCTTTCTTTTGGTGATAATGATCAGTCATTATCACCATAATCTTCTCTCTTAGACTGAGGTCACTGAATCTCGTAAGTTTTGGTAGGTTGTGCTTACATTTTGATTTCTCTCAAGATATTTTCTAATTTTCCTTGTGATTTATCTTTGACCCAAAGGCTGTTTTAAGTGTGTTGTTTAATTTCTACATTAAACATTTTCTACATTAAAAACTTGGTGGACTTTCCAGTTTTTCTTTGGCAACTGGTTTCTAGTTTCATTTTATTGTGGTCAAAAAAGATACTTGGTATAATTTCAATCTTAACTTTGTTGACACTTGTTTTGTGGCATAACACATGTCTATCCTGGAGAATGTTCTGTGTGTGCTTAAGAAAAATGCAGGTCAGGTGCAGTGGCTCACGCCTGTAATCCCAGCACTTTGGGAAGCCGAGGCGGGCGGATCACCTGAGGTCAGGAGTTTGAGACCAGCCTGACCAAAATGGCAAAACCCCATCTCTATTAAAATTACAAAATTAGCTGGGTGCAGTGCCACATGCCTGTAATCCCAGGTACTTGGGAGGCTGAGGCAGGAGAATTGCTTGAACCCAGGAGGTGGAGGTTGCAATGAGCCAAGATCATGCCATTGCACTCCAGCCTGGGCAACAAGAGCAAAACTCCACCTCAAAAAAAAGAAGAAGAAGAAGAACAATGCACATTCTACTGTTGTTTCATCGAGTGTTATGTATACTACTGCTAAATACATTGGGCTGCATTGCTGTTCAAGTCTTCTGTTTACTTATTGATCTTCTGTCTGGTTGTTCTATTCATTATTGAAAGCTGAATACTGAAGTGTCCTACTATAATGGTGTTGCTATCTACTTCTTTTAATTCTATCAAAGTTTGCTTCATATATTTGAGAGCTCTGATGTTAAGTACATATATTTGTTCTATCTTTCTGGTGAACTGACCCTATCATCATAAAATGTCCTTCTTTGTCTCTTTTGACAGTTTTTGACTTAAAGTCTATTTTGTCTAATTTAAGTAAGCTACTCCTACTCTTCTCTGGTTACCATTTGCACACATCTCTTTATTTGTGGGTACATTTTAGGTGTATATATTTATGGGGCCCATAAAATGTTTTAATACAGTCATGCAACGTGAAATAAGCACATCATGGAGAACAGATATCCATCCCTTCAAGCATTTACCAATTTAGTTGAAAACCATCCAATTACACTATTTCAAAATGTACAGTTATTATTGACTATAGTCACCCTGCTGTGGTATCAAATAGTAGGTCTCATTTTTCTTTTTTTTTTTTGTATCCATTAACCAAACTCTCCATGTATAACCCACCTTCAAATCAAGCTGAACTAACATTGGTTAAGCACAAAACAGTAAGCAAACTACCTTGTATCCCAGGCCCAACTGATAAATAGCAAATATCTGAGCTGCATTTAGAGCTTCACTGAAAAGGTAAACTGCAGTCATCTGACCACAGAATACTCTATTAGCATCTGCTGTTTCTGATGAGCCCAGGAAACATTTGTCAAAGGTCTGTAAAAGAAAAAAAAAAAGGAATTAGGAAAAAACAAAAAAAAACTCCAGAAATAATAAAAACCTATATTATCATAAATGTTTTGTCCATTCTAAACTGTATCTAAATAGACTAACATAATTTATACCATAAAACCATTAGAAAGAATGTTGAAAAATGTGTATGTAATGACATTAGGGGATATAGAAAAGTTTGAAACACATGTGTTCTCAAGCCAAACAACCTAGATCAAATCCCTGCATCCTATGCCACTGAGTATGGCAAGTTACTTAACCTCTTTGTACTTCACCTATCTGTAAAATGAAGATTATAATAATGCTTATCTTGCAAGGTTGCTGGAGCTTTTTGAAAATAAAGCTATTTATTACAATGCCTGGAATACAAAAAGCACTCAGTAAAAGTTAATGTAAGAAAAAACAGGTTACAAAACAATACTTACATATGAGCCCTTTTTTGTACTAAAAAAGAGCTAACATTGAGCACTCATTCTGTATAAGGCGCGCTGCTAATAGATTTATGGATATTATCTCATTTAATCAGATGACAACTTTCTGAGGTATGAATATTTTATGTCCATTTTCAGGAGGAAAAATGCTAAGGCCTAATAGATTAGGTAAGGTCATGCAGTCAATAAATGACAGAGCTGAGATTCAAACCTAAGTCTGTCTGATTCAAGACCCTGATCTCTTGAGGTTAGCATTACAAAATATGTATATATGTGTAGCAAAGGATATGAAAAGAGGAGTTAATGGTGTGTGGGTAGTGTACTTTATGTTCATTTTCCTGGTATTTTTCAAGTTTTTATAAAAAGAACATAATTACAGGAAAAACATTTTAAATTTCATTCTAACCTATAGATTTATTTTTGAAACCTGTAAACGTTAACAACATACTAGTTAACTATAGCAGTTAGAATTATATGCAAGATTTATAAGCATGCATCATTTAACTCATTCAGAAAAATGATCAGAACCCTATAGTGGAGCTCTTGTTCATTTTGATAAATGAACCAATGACCCACTCCCCAGATATAGCCACTGTTAGCTATAAATCCTTATTTCTACCTATATGGAATGATTTTATAACAAGGACTAATATTTCAGTGACATATTAAGTTCTATTAACATGCTAGCCAAATTATGTTTATAAAAATCTACCATTGTAATACTTTGAATTTTATATTCAAGTTGTAAAACTTTTTCTTGTTTAAAAAGCTCATGCTTTTAAAATCACTTTTTTCATTGCAACATTTTGAAACTACTTACATCGCTAGTGTTGACAAACCATGTTATCTCTCCATAGGAAGCCAGCTCACCATTCACATAACATCGAAGTTCACTATTCTTCCATCGGTTATAGATGTGTACTATGGTAACCATATACCACTGCAGAAGCAAAAAACAGTTAAAAATACAAAGATAACAATTATCCCAATAACGCAACCATACTGATGAGTAAAAGTTAAATGATAAGTTGTAATTCAACCTAAAAATAAAACAAGACTACCTTTGTTAAATTCAATATTTACTTTCTGGAACAATATCTATTCATGGGCCTTTCAACTGATAAGAACTTAATCACTAGATCATTTTTCCAGCTTTTTATTATGGAAATTTTCAAACATACCCCAAAAATCTGAAAATCAAGTACAAACACCCCCTTTTTCCACCAACTAGATTCCATAATTGTCAATTTTTTGCCATATTTGCTTAATCTATCTGACTACCTATCTACTTATACATTTTGTTGATGAACCATTTATTAACCTCTAAATTTTAAGGTACAAAAGCAAACACATATTAAATTTGCAATACTAAAATAAATGCCGTAGATATTTCCTACTTGTATCTCCCTTAATCTCCATAAATAACTAAATTTGCAATCTTTTTCATATCCAAATCAGAGAGGTCAATTATTCAGTGATTTACGCTTCATCTTTTTAAACAGTAAAAACGAAGTTGTGCTTTAGCATGTTATTATATGAATAACATTAAAACAAAGCATTTTGATGACTAGCATAGCTTGTTAACATAACTATGACTCAAGAAGATCATGTACCTTTTGTGGCTTGAAATCAAATTTCACACAGTGTTGAAAGCCTTTTCCTTTTGACTTTATTGATGTTACAATCAAACAGCCTCCAACAAAATGAGCAGAATAGCCAAGACCTTTGCTGGTTCTGAAACTATAAAGAATAGTTTTCATTTTACCTCTAAATATTCTTCTCAGTTTCAAAGTAAGGTTTTAACACTAATCAGTTACAGAAATACATACCAATACAAATATGGTTTATCCTTATCTACATTGATGTTATTTACAGGATCCATTCTAAGCCATGTATGAAATGTAAAACCATTCTGGTATGGCCATTTGGCTATAGGAGGTAATGCAATAGCCTAAAGGAAAGAAACTTTGAGTTATTAACTCACGTGAAAACCTGTCTTATTAAAATCATGAAAATAAGACTTTGCAATGCTACATATATTTGTACTACATCACATTACTTTATGTCACAATTAAAATATCTGAGGCCGGGCGCGGTGGCTCACGCCTGTAATCCCAGCACTTTGGGAGGCCGAGGCAGGTGCATCACAAGGTCAGGAGATTGAGACCATCCTGGCTAACACGGTGAAACCCCGTCTCTACTAAAAATACAAAAAATTAGCCGGGTACGGTGGTGGGTGCCTGTAGTCCCAGCTACTCGGGAGGCTGAGACAGGAGAACGGCGTGAACCCAGGAGGCAGAGTTTGCAGTGAGCCGAGACCACACCACTGCACTACAGCCTGGGCGAAAGAGCAAGACTCCATCTCAAAAAAAAAAATATATATATATCTGAAAGAAGACTCTTTATCTGGAAGAAGACTCTTTATCAGGAAGAAGACTTTTAGTAACTTTTTAATTTTCCCTAATACATAGTAATGTTAATTAAATGAAAAAAAAATTCAGTGTAACCTGGACACATGAATCTTGTATTCTTCATTTCTTAAAATGAACGTATCCACAGAGATTCTAATTAAAAGAGATAGGAAGTGATAACAAATTGGAAATTTGATGAAATTTTAAGGTATTAGAATAGAGAAAGATGGACAGGAATGGAAAGAGAGAAGAGAAAAACTGGGTATATGCTGCTTTTATAAAACTACAAATATAAAACTGAAGAGGATTAGTTCATAATATTTTTAAATTATATTCAGAAGTCAATATACAAATGGCTTTACCGCTTGGTTTAGATTTTTATTTAAAAGATCATACTACATAATAAAAGGATCTTGTATAGCCAAAACAATCTTTTAAAAAGAACAGGCCAGATACGGTGGCTCACACCTGTAATCCCAGCACTTTGGGAGGCCAAGGCAGGCAGATCATCTGCGGTCAGGAGTTCGAGACCAGCCTGGCCAACATGGTGAAACCCTGCCTCTACTAAAAAAATACAAAAATTAGCCATGCGTGGTGGTGGGTGCCTGTAATCCCAGCTACTCAGGAGGGTGAGGCAGGAGAATTGCTTGAACCCAGGAGGCAGAGGTTGCAGTGAGCCGAGATCATGCCATTGCACTCCAGCCAGGGTGACAAGAACAAAAATCTGTCTCAAAAAAAAAAATGAAGAAGAACAAAGTTAGAAGACTCATACTACCATTTCAAAACCTACCATTAATATAAAGCAACAGTGATGAAGACTGTGGTATTAGCATAAGGCCCTGGTGTCCTTTGGTTAGGCAAATCCTTCTTATTATGTCACCAAAAGGACAAGTGACAAAAGAAAAAAATATATACATTGGACTTTATTAAAATTAAAACCTGTGCTTTAAGGAACACCATCAAAAAAGTGAAAAGACAAGCCACAAGAATGGAAGTAAACATCTGCAAACTGAATACCTGATAAAGGACTTGTAACCAAAATATATAAAGTACTCTTATAACTCAATAATAAAAGGACAAGTAAAATTTTAAAATGGGCAAAAGATCTAAATATACATATCTCCAAAGAAGATATACAAATAGCCAATAAAAATATAAAAAGATGCTCAATATCATTAGTCATAAAGGAAATGCAAATCAAAACTACAATGAGATATCACTTCATACCAACTAGGATAGCTACTAATACAATCACAAAGACAGATACTGGCCGGGCACGGTGGCTCACGCCTATAATCCCAGCACTTTGGGAGGCTGAGGCAGGTGGATCACTTCAGGTCAGGAGTTGAAGACCAGCCTGGCCAACATGGTGAAACCCTGTCTCTACTAAAAAATACAAAAGTTAGCTGGGCATGGTGGTACACATCTGTAATCCCAGCTACTCAGGAAGCTGAGACACAAGAATCGCTTGAACCGGGAGGCAGAGGTTGCAGGGAGCCAAGATCACACCACTGCATTCCAGCCTGGGTGACAGAGCAAGACTTCATCTCAAAAACAAACAAACAAAAATAGACATTAACCATCTTAGCAAGGATGTAGAGAAATTTGACCCTTATACATTGCTGTGGGATCGTAAAATGTTACAGCTACTTTGGAAAACAGTCTGGAAGTTCATCAAAATGTTAAACAAAGACCATATGACCTAATCTAGAGATTGGGACAAATTAAAACATATGTCCACACATAAAATTGTACACTAATGTCCATAACAGCATTATTCATACTAGCCCAAGAAGTGAAAATCCCAAATATTCACTAGTTGACAAATGATTAAATAAAGTATGGTATATCCATACAATATAATACCAGCCATAAAAAGGAATGAAGTACTGATACATGCTGTACCATGGATGGACCTTGAAAACATTATGATAAGTGAAAAAAGCCAGTCACAAAAGACCAGATGTTGTATGATTCCACTAATATGAATGGTCCAGAATAGGGCTGGGGAATATGGGGAGTGGCTGCTAATCAGTATGGGGTTTCTTTTGGGTGTGATGAGAATGTCCCAAAATTGACTGTGGTGATGGTTGACAACTCTGTGAACACATTTACCTACTATACTATATACTTTAAATGAGTTAATTGTGTGGTATGTGGATTATATCTCAATAAAGCTGTTTTGTAAAAAATTCAAACTGCACAAGTGTCTGTTTTATTGTAACTTACATATGCATTTATGTATACATATTATACATATATTCTTTTATATGTATTAGATAAGACATAAAACATGAAAGACATCATAGAGCCAAACTTCAGTAATAACACTATTGAGACTTCAAGAGTGAACGTTGCATTAAACGTTGCATTAATGCAAAAATGAACGTTGCATTAAGAAAAAAGGAAAAGAATAATTACAACTCACAGACTGACAAAAAAAAATTTTAGGAGAAAAACATATATTCAGTGCGTACACATGTTCTCTCTCACCAAAAACGATAGCAAAGATGTAAAAGCTTTGCAAAAATACTTTATTCATGACTACTTTAAATTCCCAGTAAAAGCTATGTTTAAGGAAAGGAAGTCACTAAACATATTTAAAACATCTATTCTCTTCAAGTTTCAAAAGCTGTTCAGCTCACCTGCCCTACTTTCAAGATAAATGCATGCACTGCAATCTCAGAACTGTAAATAATAAAATTATAACATGAGGCATGAAAAAGGTTAATCTCATAAGAACACTTTTTTTAATGTTAGAGGCAATGATAGGCTATGATAAGAAAGTAAAATTATTCTGAAAAGCTACAAATCTAAAATCGACTGTAAGGAAAAACTGTAAAGGAAAAAATTGGGCAATAAAACTTTTCAAAGAAAGTTGTATATTGTGTATATAACATTTAAATATCACAAATGTCATATTAAAACATATTCTTATCTTTCTGCAGATACTGCCAGGCTACACAGGGCCTAATATAAGATTTTATGAGAACTAACATAAAAAAAAGAATGAAAGATAAGCTCAGGAAAAGAATAGACTGAAATATCTTTTTTAAAAGTTTGTCTTGGGCCGGGCGTGGTGACTCATGCCTGTAATCCCAGCACTTCGGGAGGCTGAGGTGGGTGGATCACCTGAGGTCAGGAATTCGAGACAAGCCTGGCCAACATGGCAAAACCCCGTCTCTACTAAAAATACAAAAATTAGTCAGGCGTGGTCGTGGGCACTTGTAATCGCAGCTACTCAGGAGGCTGAGGCAGAAGAATCGCTTGAAACCAGGAGGCAGAGGTTGCAGTGAGCCGAGATCGCACCACTGCACTCCAGCCTGGGCAACAAGAGCAAAACTCCATCTCAAAATAAAAAAAAAGTTTGTTTTGCTTGTAACAGACTGACCAATGTAATAATGAGGAGATTTTAGAAACTTCCATAAATAACATATATACATTATAGAATGTGCTTCTATAACATTACGAAACATTACAGATATCACTATTATACATAATTGTCTTATGTATAAACTGATTAACGGCTTACAGGAACACTGAGACCAACATAATTTGGAAACTCACAAGTCAAGGAAAACTTGCGTAGTAAGTTTCAGAGCCTCTATTTCTTCACTATCATTCTATACACAAGGTACAAAAAAAAAGACAGGTAGAGTAATGAAAGGCAAGAGAAAGATGTTCACAAAGATAGACATGAAGGTGTTACACACAAATAGCTACTTAAGACAACATGGCTATGTTTAAAAGAATGAGGTTCTTATTCCATTGCTGACCCAAGCTGTGACTGGGCATTTTCTCAACTAATTTAAGCCTCTATTTCTTCACCTCTAAAGCAATTACAAAAAAGTAACATGCACGACTATCATAAGGATTAAAGTATGTTGAGCAGAAGTTTCTACCTAGCACAGAACCTGTCAGGGGTGTTCACAGGGCTGTACTTTCAGGGAGCAAAGGAAAGAAGAACTGGGAGTGATTTCCTCATTAATATTTACTTACTGCAGCACTCTTTCCTGGAAAGTTAAAAAAGGCATCAGGACCATACTTCTGAGGCATATGCTTTAACACAGACAGCAACTTCCCAGCATGTGGAGGCTATGAAGATAATTAACAATTCATTAACCACATTATTTACCATAAGATAAAAAAAACACATCTTTAATATAGTCTTGCTGTAATATATACAGGAATAATGCTATAAGGTTAAAAGCATAGAAAATAATTTCTAAGTTATTTTCAAATATCTTAAAGAAATAATGTACTCTACACCAGTTTTTGTAATGCTGTAGGGCCTATTAGGTATTCAATAAATATGAGCCAGTATCATTAGACACCTGAAACTCTTCTCCAAGCTGCAGCAAAAATGATCTTTTTTTTTTCTTTTTTGAGATGGAGTCTCACTCTGCCACCCAGGCTGGAGTCCATGTGCAGTGGCGCCATCTCGGCTCACCATAAACTCTGCCTCCCAGATTCAAGTGATTCACCAGCTGAGTAGCTGGGATTACAGGTGTGTGCCACCACACCCAGCTAATTTTTTTTTCTTTCGAGATGGAGTCTCGCTCTGTCACTCAGGCTAGAGTGCAATGGCATGATCTCGGCTCACCGCAACCTCCGCCTCCCAGGTTCAAGCGATTCTCCTGCCTCACCCTCCCAAGTAGCTGGGATTACAGGTGCACGCCACCACACCCGGCTAACTTTTGTACTTTTAGTAGAGACGGGGTTTCTCCATGTTGGTCAGGCTGGTCTCGAACCAACCTCAGGTGATCCACCTGCCTGGGCCTCCCAAAGTGGTGGGATTACAGGCGTAAGCCACTGTGCCCGGCCTATATTTTTTGTATTTTTAGTAGAGACAGGGTTTCACCACGTTGGCCAGACTGGTCTCAAACTCCTGACTTCAAGTGATCCACCTGCCTCAGCCTCACAAAGTGCTGGGATTACAGGCATGAGCCACCACACCTGGCCAAAAACGATCTTTTAAAAATATAAACTACATCAATCCCCCACCCACCCTTCTTTAAAATTAAAAATACTTAATAATTTAACAAATACTTAAATAATGCTTACTATATTCCACTGTTAAAGGTACTTCAAAAAGATACTTGCACATGCATGTTTATAGCAGCACAATTCACAATTGCAAAATCATGGAACCTACCCAAATGCCCATCAATCAACGAGTGGATAAAGAAACTGTGGTATATATATATATATATATATATGATGGAATACTACTCAGCCATTAAAAGAAATAAATTATCAGCATTTGCAGTGACCTGGATAAGACTGGAAACTATTATTCTAAGTGAAGTAACTCAGGAATGGAAAACCAAACAGTGTATGTTCTCACTGATATGTGGGAGCTAAGCTATGAGGACACAAAGGAAAAAGAAAGATACAATGGACTTTGGGGACTTGGGGTAAGAGTGGGAGGCGGGTGAGAGATAAAAGTCTACAAATATGGTGTGGTGTATACTGCTCAGGTGACGGGTGCACCAAAATCTCACAAATCACCACTAAAGAACTTACTCATGTAACCAAATACTACCTGTACCCCAATAACTTATGGAAAAATAAAATTAAAAAATAAAAATAAACATTTCAAAAAATGGTACTTCAAAAACACTAAAATATTTTAACCTCATAACCACCCTATGGGATGGTATTATTATGATTATCCGCAGTTTACAGAAGAAGAATCTGAGGCAGGGGAACATTTCCAAAGTCACATGGGTAATAACTGTCAAGGTCAGGATGAGAACTCAATCTTGACTCCAGAGTCCATGCTTTTAAACAACTATACAGATGCTCCTCAACTTACGATAGGGTTACATCCTGATAAACCCACAGTAAGTTGAAAAGAATGTAAATCGAAAGTATGTTTTTGATCCAAAATATTGTCAACTTAAGATGGGTTTAGCCGGAGGTAGCCCCATCCTAAGTGAAGGAGTATACTGAATGCATATCACTTTCACACCATCGTAAAGTCAAAAAAAAAAAAAAACAACTATACTTTCACCATTAAAATAGGGACCAAAACCTTTAACATGGACTATAAGATACTTTATCTACTTCTTTAGCCTCATTTTGCTTCTTACTCTCCCCTTCTCCCTGCACTCCATCCTTTTTTCAGTCTTCTTCCCACAACAGGGCCTCAGCAAAAGCTATTCCTTATGCTTAAAATGTTCTCAAAAGGACCCCTGTACTCCCCTCTTATCCAAGTCAATCTTACCCAGCCTTTAGAGCTCATCTTAACAGTCACTTCCTCAGGGTAGCCTTCCTTGAAACTGAGAGTGGATTAAACTTCCCTATCATATTTCATTCTACAATATACCTTTACCGCATAGCATATAAATATATGTATACGCATAGCATATACATATAAAAGCTGCAACGCTGAGTTTATTTGATTAATGTTTCCTTGGTCCACAAGTCTCTAATACATGAAACAACCAACAATAAAAATGAAAAATCTCATTTGCAGTTACAAGGAAAAACAAAAGATAATCAGACATACTATCTCATTTTAATCAGTTTATAACCAAATAAGAAAAGTGTGGGGCATTCCTCCTTGTTAAAAATGTAAAAGTTCAAAACAGGGTCAAACTACAAATGAAATCATTGGTTTGCCTTCATCTTATTTTTATAGATGATATAAATTATAATTACTACCTGTGTAAAAGAGTTTGGCAACCTTTCACCTAAATATTAAGTGGAAGCTTCATTCTTAAGTGAACAAGAAATTTTCAATTAACCATACTGCTCAATTGTAAAAGCATAATAACAAGTAACTACAATCACAGTGATTTTTTAAAATAAATTCCAAAGTAAAATAAAGTAACCAAAAATAACTCTGCAGTTAAAAATAAAAATACAGTATTATAGCATGTCCATCTAGAAACATCATTCCTCCAAATTTCCTTTCCTATAAATCAGTCAACAAAAGAATACATTAAGATAAGCACTTTACTTGACAGACATTGCTGGGGGAGTGTATACTGTACTGGTAAAGCCTTTCAGAAAAAAATTTAGTAGACCAGGCACAGTGGTTCACATCTGTAATCTCAACACTTTAGGAGGCCAAGGTGGAGGGATCGCTTGAGCCTAGGGGTTTGAGACCAGCCTGGGCAACATGGAGAAACTCCATCTCTAGAAAACAATACAAAAATTAGCCAAGAATGGTGGCAAGTGCCTGTGGTCCCAGCTGCTTGGAAAGCTGAGGTGGGAGGATTGCTTGACCCAGGAGGCAGAGGTTGCAGGCAGCCGAGATAGCACCACTGTACTCCAACCTGGGTAACAGAGCAAGACTCTGTCTGAAAAAGAAAAAGAAAGAGGAAAAGAAAAAGATGTAGTAGTCATATTTCAAGAGTCCGTAAAGACGTTCATGTCCACCAATGCAATATTTCCACATGTAAAAATCTATGCTAAAGTAATCACCACAAGGGCAGACAGAGATTTAGATATAGGGATTTTTTCACTGCACTGCTATAACAGCAAACGATAGAAATAATATGCCTAATATTAAATAACTAAATAAACGTAATGAGTATCTGAGCAAGGCCTTGCTCTCATTTTATAAATAGTTCATTATTTTTTCCCTTTATCATCTAAAACTATTCTCATTCTCCTCCCCCTCCCCATAGGCAACTATATTAACATGTTTAATCTTTTTTATGTAGATTATTCCTTCAAAAATAATGTTTGGGGCTGAGTGTGGTGGCTCATGCCTGTAATCCTAGCACTCTGGGAGGACTGCTTGAGCTCAGGAGTTTGACACCAGCTTGGACAACATGGCAAAACCCAGCCTCTAAAAGAAATGCAAAAATTAGCCTGGCATGGTGGCACATGTCCGTGGTCCCAGCTACTTGGGAGGCTGAGGTGGATCTCTTGATACCAGGAAGCTGAGAATGCAGTGAGCCATGATCACACCATTGCACTCCAGCCTGGATGAGAGTGAGACCCTGTCTTTAAAAAAAAAAAAAAGAAAAGAAAAAAAGGTTTTTATGTGCTTACACTTATCATTGCTTTCTTTCCTATATATTTTACATCTATTCCTATTACTCCATGTACTGATTCTGTTATAGAACAATCTACCTTCTATACATTTTACCAATCCACTCTCTTAATGATGAACATCCATGTTAACATTCACTGCCATCAAAAATAATGCTTCAGTGAACATCCTCATGTATTTTATGGATCTATGTGAGAATTTCTTGGAATACGCACTCAGAAGTGAATTATTAAATCACTGGATACAGGTAAAATTAACATGACTAAGTAGCACTAGACTCCTCTTGAGGTTGGCTCCACTGGTGTTCATTCTAATGAAAAGCGCACCAAGTATAAAATAACCCTATATCCCAAACTATACTTGCCATTTTCCAACTTTAAAATTCTTGAGAAACTACAGATGGAAGGTGACAATATCAATACTGTTTTAATGTGAATGTCTCTAATTATTAATGATTTTGTGTTCATTTGGTTGTGGGGTTTCTACCTCTGTAAATAAATATTAGTTCATATTATTTGCTATTTTCTTACCTATAATTTTCTATGCTTATGAATATAATAAAAATACATTACATATTCAGAATAAATAATGTGAATATAAATAAAAACCAAAATCAAATATATACTTTCTCTTCTGGACACGACATATTAATAGGACCTGGACTTACCAACCTACCATAAACAACTAGAAAAGTGGGCAAAATGTATCAAACAAAAACAGTTTTCAGTATGCAGGAAGAGGTAGCTCAAGACTGTGTTCCCTGAGAAAACAAAATGACTTAAACCTGGAGTCAATTTCCATATCATTGCACAGGGAAACCAAACAGAACCCGAAAGTCTCAGTGAGTTGGAAAGAAAGTGGAGTCCACAGAAGATAGAAGTTTCAGAGAAGAATACTAGGGAGGAAAGAACTGAACAGACAAGAAGCTCCAGAAATCTGCATTGACTCTTTGACTTAATACCAGACTGATCATGCTTATGATAAAACTCAACATGGTGGGGCTAAGATAGTAAGAGCTTTAAGTTAAAGAATTCCCAAAACTAATACAGAGCTAGGAATTGTTGAGACCCTACTAGACACTTCGGAGAGACCACAGTCTTGCTACCTCCTGTCCTATGTCTGAGACTTGAGAGTTATTCAATAGAGACCCTCTAAGAGACACGCCTGAATAGTAAAACTAAACTAGCCGTAGCGTAACAGCCACTCTAAACCTTACTGGAAAAAAAACTTTTAAACTAGTTTTGAAGGATAAAGTTGATCCACAAATAACTTATCTGCCTACAAAACCAGTCTAACAATCTTAAAAGGAATATGACAAAATCCAACACTCAGCAACATAAAATTTGCTATGTCTGATATATTGTCTAAATTCAGTAGCCATAAGCAGCAGAAAAATGTGACCTACATAAAGGAGCAAAATCAATGAGTAAAAAACTGACCTAGAAAATGACATTCTAGAATGAAAAACCAAGAGCATTAAAGCAACTATTCATATGCTAAATATTGTCAAGGATTTAAAGGAATTAAATGAGGGAAAAAATGGAAAATATTTAAAAGAACCAAATAGAATTTACAGAAAGAGACCAGGCATGGTGGCTTATGCCTGTAATCCCAGCACTTTGGGAGGCCAAGACGGGTGGATCACAAGGTCAGGAGTTCGAGACCATCCTGACCAACACTGTGAAACCCTGTCTCTACTAAAAATAGAAAAGTTAGCCAGGCGTGGTGGTGTGCGCCTGTAATCCCAGCAACTCAGGAGGCTGAGGTAGGAGAATTGCTTGAACCCAGGAGGTGGAGGTTGCAGTGAGCAGAGATCGCACCACTGGACGTTAGCCTGGCGACAGAGCAAGACTCCGTCTCAAAAGAAAGAAAAAAAAAAAAAAGGCCAGGCGCGGTGGCTCACACCTGTAATCTCAGCACTCTGGGAGGCCAAGGCGGGCAGATCACAAGGTTAGGAGATCGAGACCATCCTGGCTAACATGGCAAAACCCCGTCTCTACTAAAAATACAAAAATTAGCCGCACTTGGTGGCATACGCCTGTAGTCCCAGCTACTTGGGAGGCTGAGGCAGGAGGATGGCATGAACCCGGGAGGCAGAGCTTGCAGTGAGCCGAGATCATGGCACTGCACTCCAGGCTGGGCAACAGAGCGAGACTCTGCCTTAAAAAAAAAAAAAAAAAAATTTACAGAAAGAAAAATATACTATCTGAAATTTCAGTGGATGGAATTAACACACTGCTGAAGAAAAGATCAGTTAACTTGAGACTACAGCAATAAAAACTATCTAAAATAAAGCACAAAAAGATTAAAAAAAGAGTTAACAGATCCCAGTAACCTGTGAGAAAATATCAAGAGGTCTAATATATCTGTAATTGGAGTCCCAGAAAAGACAGGAAGCGGGGACAAGAAGACAGTATTTGAAGAAACAATGACTAAAATGTTTCCAAATTTTGTGACAATTATCTTATACCCCCACAGAAGCAAAAACTCTAAGAAGATAAACACAAGGTAAGCTAGAACCAGAAATATAATCAAATTCAATGAAAATTAGTAAAAAAAACTAAAATTAGACAGTAAACTGGAGTTTGAGAGAAATATGCTAAAGAATCTAAATTTTAACATAATGAAAAAGAGTAATTGTAGGGCACAGTTTTAGATACATTTAATGAAAGCTAGATTAAGGATCAGCTGGCTGAGCTGTTGCTGTGGGCAATGATCTCTAAAGGGCACTAAAATAAGATTGGAAATGCAACAAAAATGGAGAAAATATTTACTACTCCTCTTCAATGGGACAGATAACTATATGGTGGAAGAAACAGTTTGATAAGGCACCTGGGGTTCAAAATAAGTTCACCCCCATCACTACCCATTGCAAATGACTCCTAAGTTGCATCTCAAGAGGGTAGATCCAATTAACTGCAGAGGTTTTGTTCACGGAGTGAGTTACTCAAGTTTAAGCCACTCAGATAAAACTAGATCAAAAAGAAGAAAAGGTAGGTACTACTACCTAATACTTTTCTTTCTCTACATTTATCTTTTTTTCTAATAAATATTGAATGTACATTTAAAGAACAACATTTTGAAGAAGAATTAAATTACCAGTTTGCCTGAAACACCATTATCTTAGTGCATACTCTTAGTGTCCAAGTATGGCACGAGTAGCCACAGGGATCTCAATGCTATTTTAATTAATCTATTCAATTTGACAATTATCCCATGTATAATAATATCAGTTACTTTACAAGCTACGAATGTGTTTGGGAGGAGCATACTTTAAAATACCAAAGAGTACTTAAGTTTTTTTACCCATCGTCCTTTATCTCCTTGAAGTTTACTGAAGAAAAGCTTTAGCTCGCGAACTGTCAAATTATAGCTAGCCAGCACTCCCAACATGTCAACCAAAAGATCTGGAAACAAAAGAAAACGATAAAATAACTCAGCTAGTTATATTTCTCGAATATTTAAAATAAACTGTGCTTATTTAAGGGCTTGGACACTAAAGTTCTAGGTGCATGCTACATGCTCAAATATTTCTTAAATATTGCTAAATGGAATAAGAAAAATATGTATTTGAAAATCAAACTTTATTTCTTTGCATATATTGTACTATAGAAAAAATCATACCTGCTATCATATTGTCAACTTTTTCAATTTTCCCAAGCACTTTTTCAACAAGGCCTACTTCAGTGCAGACTTGAAGATTCCGTATGCTTTTCTTCAGAATGGCTGTAAACATGCTCCAGACTTCTGCTTGGCACGTAATGTCACATTTTTCCAGTAGGTCCACCATGCAGTTAATACTCTCACCTTCTTGGATAATGAAATTCATTTCCAGATCAAACTGTCCTCCTACCAACTTACAAGGAAAAAAAAAAAACACATTAAAAGCATTAGTATCCTCAATATCACTATAGCATGTTCCTAAACATTAGATTAACAATAACTACTCACATTCTTCCTCCACATCAAAAGGTTCATTAAAAAACATGCAGCTCAAAAAACTGAAGTTTCTGAAGTAATCTCCAAATTTAGACAGCAAAGTAAGAGAATATAAAAATTAAAATATTTTTCAACAAAAACAAATATAGGATGTCTTAGGTAAATTGCTATCTACTAACCTGTTACCAATAAAGATCTAAATCAACTCTACAATTGCTTCTCATCCAGTCTTTCATTTATGAAGTATCAAATCTGTGAACTACACTGAATAATCTAAAGGTCCTTTGTTACCCAAACAACTTATGAGCTCACGGTAAAACTGAAAAGCTGAAAAAGGCTCAGAGTGGTCACACATTGGAGTTTATATTAGTCAAATTTTTGGTTTATTAAGCCTATTCATTTTACCTCTCCTCTGTAGATAATCAGTATAACTTACATATAATTAGTCACATATCCAAAGTCAGTAACCAAGAAAATGTATTTCACTGATATTACTATCAGAACGCTATAGCTATACAGGCCTTGTCATCTCACCCAGAGCCTCCCCATACAGAGGGAAGGTTCGTAAATTTTAAATAAATCGTAATTGTGTAAAGGAATTAAAATACTTTTAGAATTACCTTTGTAGAGCTATCTCATTTAACTAGATTTTTTAAATAAATTTTTTTAAATTTAAATTTTTTTAATTTAAAAATACATATATTTAAGGTATACAATAATGCTATCAACTAGATTTTTTAAAGATCTCTGTCAGAAATAGCTACACACATGATTCACCTACGCTTCTTTCTGAATACTTCTTGATTTTTCATTATGCATTTCCAAACTGCATACCCAAAAGGTATGCAATAATTAGAAGAAAGTGAACTTTAAAAAACAAATCCGGCAGGGCGTGGTGGCTCATGCCTGTAATCCCAGCACTTTGGGAGACCGAGGCAGGCGGACCACCTGAGGTCAGGAGTTCAAGACCAGCCTGGCCAACACGGTGAAACCCCATCTCTACTAAAAATACAAAAATTAGCTGGGCGTGGTGGCATGCGCCTGTAATCCCAGCTACTCAGGAGGTTGAGGTAGGAGAATCACTTGAACCTGAGTGGCAGAGATTGCAGTGAGCTGAGATTGTGCCACTGCACTGTAGCCTGGGCAACTGAGCGAGACTCCGTCTCAAAAAAAAAAAACAAAAAAATACAAAAACTTAGCCAGGCATGGTGGCATGTGCCTGTAGTCCCAGTTACTTGGGAGGCTGAGGCAGGAGAATCACTTAAACCTGGGAGGCAGAGGTTGCAATGAGTCAAGATCATGCCATTGAGCTCCAGCCTAGGCAACAGACCAAGACTCCATCTCAAAAAAAAATAAAAATAAAAATAAATCCAATGGCTCTTATAAAGAATAACAGACATGACCAAGTGGAGTTTAGTCCAGGAAAGCAAGGAAGGTTCAAAACTAGGAAATAAATTAAAATTCCATTCAGCAGGATCAACAACATGTATCCCAGGTTCTGACAAAAATATACACAGGCATGAGACTGAAAAAAATGGAAATGAACAATGTGAGGATCTGTACCTGCATGCAGAGAGACAAGAACTCCTGGCAAGCACAGTGATAAAGACATTTCATCTTTCTCAGAAAGCTCTGGTAGAGATCTCAGCATACAATGCTTTGTATCATCACTACCAAGCAGTGTTAGGAGATGACAGCTGGGATTTTGCTAAAACAGTCTCTCCTTGTGATGGAGTCAATTCTCCTAGTTACATGGCCGTAGCTAAAAAGTATACGTGCTTGGTTCCCTAGTCCTCCTGGATAAACGCTATAAGCTATCTATTATACTATGAAATATTCCATTCTACTTGAACTGGTTGAATTAGATTATATTGTCTGTAAATATGTTGTTTGTAAATTTTAAAAATACACAATTCAAATAAGAACTTTAATATAGCTGTTTTGGTTTTGTTTGTATTATTTCCTAATATTGTCTGTAACTTTTTATTTTGAAATAATTTCGAACATTCAAAAAAAGTACAGAATTCCTTTATACTCTTCATCCAGCTTCCCCAATGTATATATATTACATAATCATAGTACAGTTATTTAAACCAGGAAATTAACATTTACAATACCATTAACCAATCTACAGATATCACTCATAAAAAGATTTAAAAAAAGGCATGTATATGAATAAGGTGCTTATTATTAATAATGCTTGGCTGACGGTGGTGGTTATTGTTATTATAAGTTTTATAATTTTATAATTACATATCTATATTTATATATTATTATATGATAAAAGTGACATGCAAATAGAACAAAGATCATTTCATCAAAAGGTTAGTGGCTGGGCATGGTGGTTCACACCTATAATCCCAAAACTTTGGGAGGCTAAGACAGGAGGATCACTTGAGGCCTGGAGTTTGAGACCAGTCTGGCAACACAGCCAGACTCTGTCTCCATATTCAAAAAAAAAAAAAAAAAATTACCCAGGTATGGTGGTGGGTACATGCAGCCCTAGTACTCAGGAGGCTGAGGTGGGAAGATTGCTTGAGCCCAGGAGTTCAAGACTAAAGTGAGATCACACCACTGCACTCCAGCCTGGGTGACAGTGCAAGATCCTGTCTAAAAAAAAAATAAGTTTAGGGATAGCTATATTCAAATATCTGGGGGAAAAAAAATCATCAATCAATCCCTCATACCATAAAAAAATTTCCAAATGAGTCTAAGATTTAAATGTAAAACTGAAGTCATAAAATGAGTCTAAAATAAAACTTATAAAAGCACTAAATGGGTTAGGCGTGGTGGCTCATGCCTGTAATCCCAGCACTTCTGGGAGACCAAGGCGGGAGAGTCATGTGAGTGCAGGACTTCAAGGCTACAGTGAGCTATGATCATGCCACTGAGCCCTAGCCTGGGTGACAGAGCAGGACATGTCTCTAAAAATAAAAATTAATTAAATAAAAGCACTGAATGAAATGATACAAAAAACATTTTATCACTTCAAGTGGTAAAAGCTTTTCTAACTAAGAGTTTTTAAGATTTCTGGACTTCATATTGACATATTTAACTACATAATAATCAGAAACTCTATATGCAAAAAAAAATCAAAAAGTAAATTAAACACTTAGAAAAATCATTTGCAACCCATATCATTACATAAGCACAAATAGCTTCCTGAAAAAAAATTTTTAAAAGAAAATATATCTGCTTGTGGGAACTAGGGTGTTAAAAAAAAAAAAAAGAAAATTTAGGCAAAGGCAATGAACAAAAAGGTAAATAAAAGTGGCACTAAAACATGAAACCCAACTTTGCTTACAAAATGAATATTAAAAATACACTAATATACCATTTTTACATATTTGATTGACAAATTCCAAATCTCTAACAACATATAAAAATAATACATAGTATGTGCAAGAACATGAGGAAACAGGTACTGTCATACATTACTGTTGTTGAGGAAACAGGTACAATATGACTTATTAAGAGCAATTTGGGGCTGGGTACGTTGGCGCACACCTGTAATCCCGGGACTTTGGGAGGCCGAGGCAGGTGGATCCCTTGAGCGCAGGAGTTTAAGATGAGCCAAGGCAACATAGCAAAATCCCATCTCTACTAAAAATACAAAAATTAGCCAGGCGTGGTGGCAGACACCTTTAGCCCCATCTACTTGGGAGGCTGAGACACAAGAATCACTTGAACCCACGAGGCAGAGGTTGCAGTTAGCCAAGATCGCATCACTGCACTCTAGACTGGGTGACAGAGTGAGACCTTGTCTCAAAACAAAAAAAAGAAAAACAAAAAAATAGCAATTTGGTAATATCTATCAAAATTTTTTATTTTTGAAACAGCAATCAAACTACTAGAAATGTATATTATAGACACATTTATGTATCTAACATAATGATGTTAGATACAAGAACTTCATTGTATTGACTCTTTTTAAATTACAAGATAAAGGTTAATGACAGCCTGGCATGATGGATCACTCCTGTAATCCCAGCACTCTGGGAGGCCAAGGTGGGTGGATCACTTGAGGTCAGGAGTTCAAGACCAGCCTGGTCAACATGGTGAAACCCCGTCTCTACTAAAAATACAAAAATTAGCCAGGCATGGTGACACGTGCCTGTAATCCCAACTACTTGGGAGGCTGAGGCACAAGAATTGCTTGATCCCAGGAAGCGGAGGTTGCAGTGAGTCACCTGGGCAACAGAGCAAGACTCTGTCTCAAAAAAAAAAAAAAAAAGTTAATGAAGTTGTATACAACTATACAATGAAATATGATGTACATATAGAAAAGAATGAGGCCACTCCACATGATATGAAAAGATCTCTAAGATACTGTGAGAAAATCAAGGTGGAGAAAAGTGTGAACAGTAGGCTACAATTTGAGTGTAAATCATTTACACATAGACCTATGCATGTGCTAAATATGTCTAAGAATGAACTAAATATCGATTGTCTCTGGAAAAGATCTATTGCATAGAAGGCAAAAAAAAGATTTTAGTACATACACTTTTGAACAATTTGAATTTTGTGCCATGAACACATATTACTTATTTCAAAAAAAACAATTTAAAAAGAAGCAAATGCAGCCAGGTAGGGTGGCTTATGCCTGTAATCCCAGCACTTTGGGAAACCGAGAGAGCAGATCAGTTGCACTCAGAGAGTTCAAGACCAGCCTGGGGTCTTGAACCAACATGGCGAGACCCCATCTCTACCAAAAATAAAACAAAAAATTAGCTGGGTGTGGTGGCATGTGGCTGTAGTCCCAGCTGCTTGGAGGCTGAGGTGGGAGAATGGCTTGAGTCCGAAAGGCAGAGGTTGCAGCAGCCCAAGATTGTGCCACTGCACTCCAGCCTGGGCGACAGGGCAAGACCCTGTCTCAAAAAAAAAAAAGCAAATGCACAAAACACCACTGATGTGAACTGTAGAGCTTATGAAATCATCATAAATACAAATGGTATTAATACAAACGTTTGGGATTTCTCAAGTAACCTATTTCTAACAAATTACTCACTGAGTCAAAAATAATTCAGCACAATATAACAATGACATTGCAGAGGCATTATTCAAATATTTAACAACTGGCACAGTGCAGGCACCATGCAATCAGAACACATACAAAACCTATCAAGATGGGCTCAAGCTGTAAAAATCTCATACTTACATATTGAGGCACATTGGCTAGCTATTGGCCTTCATAGAACATACTTAAGTAAAAAATAACAGATACAACACATCTGCAGAAAACAATCACAAAATACAAACCTCTACTATATAATAAATTTATAAACTCATTCAACACACTTTTACTGAATGCCTACAGTATGCCAGGCCCTGAGGAAATAGTGGAACAGTGATCAATAAGACAGAAATAGCCTACCCGTATTTGCAGGAACACTGTGTCTTATATCCTACAGAAATCTTTTTTAATTGCTTATTTAGAAAATGGCTGGGTGCGGTGGCTCACATCTGTAATCCCAGCACTTTGGGAGGCAAAGGTGGGTGGATCACCTGAGGTCAGTAGTTCCGAGACCAGTGTGGCCAACATGGTGAAACCCCAGCTCCGTTAAAAATACAAAAATTAGGCCGGGCACAGTGGCTCACGCCTGTAATCCCAGCACTTTGGGAGGCCGAGGCGGGCAAATTACCTGAGGTCAGGAGTTTGAGATCAGCCTGGGCAACACGGCGAAACCCCGTCTCTACTAAAAATACAAAATTAGCCGGGCATGGTGACACATGCCTGTAATCCCAGCTACTCGGGAAGCTGAGGCAGGAGAATCGCTTGAACCTGGGAGGTGGAGGATGCGGTGAGCCGAGATCGCGCCATTGCACTCTAGCCTGGGCAACAAGAGTAAATCTCCATCTCAGAAAAAAAAAAAAAAAATTAGCCAGGTGTGGTGGTGCATGTCTGTGGTTCCAGCTACTCAGGAGGTTGAGGCAGGAGAATCGCTTGAACCCAGGAGGTGGAAGCTGCAGTGAGCCGAGATTGCCCCATTGCACTCCAGCCTGGTCAACAAAGCAAAACTCCGTCTCACGAAAAAAAAAAAAAAGAAGAAAAGAAAATACTAGACTTCTGGTTTCCAAACTGGAAATCTCTTTCTCCATGAAAATATATAATATAGGAATGACACCAAGTAGTAACTTCAGCTCAAAATGTCATTTTGTATAAATATAAAATATATAACATTCATAAGTTTTCCTAAATACCTATAATATCTAACAGAAAATACAAGAGTTTTAAAACAACATTTCTGATACCAACTATAAGTATAAAGTATCTAGGAGTGTATTAAAACATACACAAGACTTGAAAGTAAAGAAATTTTTTTCCACTTTTGATAAATGAACAGACCTGTTTCTGGATGGGAATATTAAATCAGTTCAAGTTGTTAACTTTTCACAAATTAATCTATAAATTCAGCACATTACCATTAAAATTCCAATATGATTTTTTTCTGAAACTTATAGTGATTCTAATTTCTATCTGGGAATTAAATATATGAAAAAAGTGAAGGGAAATTCTATACAAAAAGAATACTAGAATCATTAAACAAATGGTATAACATAATTATTAAAACTGTATGGTACTAGACAGAAAATAATCTAATTAAAATAAAAGGTTGGTACAAATAACTTCAATATAGGATTAGAGTGTCATCACAAGCATTAAATGGAGCTATGAAATTTTCATTTTAAAAAATTAAGACTGAATCCTTATCTTACAAAATATGCCAAAATAAATTCTAGATAACTTAAAATATCAAAAGTTAAATTAGAAGCCACAAATATAAGAAATTCTCAAAGAGTACAAAACTCATTAAGCTGTAGAAATAAAAAGTGGTACAGAAATAAAGTATTTTCAATTTGGTGAAAAAAATGTTTAGGAAGACATGAACAGTCAATTCACAAAAAAAAAATCCAAATGACACTTGCAAAAAAAAAATACTAAATGAATTTAACTTTGTTTGAAATTATTAATGCTCAAAGTAGGTGAGAACAAGATTAAACAGATACTTTCATACACTCCTGTTGAAATATTTCCAGAAAGCAATATGGTAATACTAACTAAACATATAATTGTGTTAAGTCAAGACAATCTTTTATTAAATGTGAGGAATAACAATCAGCAGCAGATGCCAATGATTAAGAAAAATTAAGAGGAAAAATTCAAAACTGAGAAAATTAATTCCATGAACTTCAACCTGTAAATTTGGTAAAGATAATTTTTAATCAATTTTAGCAGTAGAAAGGTCTGGTCCAGGTCCAAGAACACCAGTATTCTCAGGAAGATAATTTAAAAGAATCCACACAGAAGAATGTAAAATTAAGGAGTGACAGAATCTTCAGACACAAGAAAACCTTCTTGTGGAAAAGAATTGCAGTGATTCAGAAAAGTAGCAGAAAAAAACAAAAATCTCTAAGGCCATACAAAACTAGTAATTCCATAATTATATAATGATTATAACTTCAAAATAACTTTTTAGTGAAAGGAAAGCTCAAAGAGAAAATATTTTATGAAAATCATCTAGATACAACAATAAAAAAGACAAACTCTTCAACAGTATTTTCTAGAAGACAGAAACTAAACCTTGTCCACTGAATACAATAAAGTACTTCTTACAACACCCACATACAATTGTACATCATTTCATATAAGGGAAACCAACCAATAAATCTGAAACAATTTACTGCCAAGAAGATAATGTCTGGAGAGAGTTTTAATAGTGTGAAATTTTCTTCTAACAATTACATATCCTCCATGCGATCTAAATTGGTCAAAAACCTCGTTACAACTAACATAAGAGACCTTACCTTCATCTTAATATTACTTACATCAATCATTCCTATAAGTAACCACCCTTTCAAGAAGCTATAGATTTTTGAAAGTAATTTCCAAAAAAAGCCCCAAATATTTCACCAGCTTTTAAACTGAGATTATAATGGTGAGAGCAATATCCAGACAGGTGTTTTAAATATTCCTCCATTGCTTTAAATACTATAAAATATGCCTTTCAAGGAGAAATTGATGGCAGAAATTTGTACATACAAATGTGTGGCATATTTGATATACTATATGTATGCATATCTATTATACCTAAAAAACATGCACAGGGTCTACAGTATGTCATGTTAACCCTTTCTAATAGTTATTTGAAGCTGATCAACCTTCAAAACACAAATTTGTTTCCAATGACAGGGATCATAATCCAGGTACAGGCATTGGCTAGTTATTATCTGAGCTGTAGTAATGGCTCTGCACTACAAAATGTAATCTTCCCAAATGTCACAGTAAGTTATGAATATCTGAGCAGCCTAATGCACTTTACTAGCCATGAAATGTGAAAATGTAATCTTATTACCTTTTTTATGGTTGTATTTTTTTGAATAATGTAGCATGGAAACTGATGTATAGTCTTTTTCTACATTTTAGCATGATTTGGTCTCCTTTGCTATATAGAACATTTTTCAAAACTCTCCATTTCAACATATTTTAGTCTTGGCCTGAACTTCATAAACAATTTTTATAGCAGCCTTCAGGGTGGCATAACATGCTTTCTATAGGTTATACTTTAATGCATAAGGTTATAGAAATTTTAAAGCAACTTATTCGAAGAATTCAAATAAACCTTTATAAGTTTTGTATGAGGACTTTAATTGAGCATGATTATTTTTCTTCTCAATAGTGATACTAATAAAATACTTTAAGCTGACATTAGTCACTAATCTAAATTACCTGTATATTCGGAAAATCTAAAGACCAAACATGGAGATCAAAAATAATTATCTTCTCTTCAAAAGATTAATACAACTGGAATACTGTGTGACTCACAGAAAATTCAAATACTTCAAAGTAAAGCTCTGTTCTCCCTGGACAACTCACTGGAAACTTGCTAAATTTTTCCTCAAAGGTGGGGCAGGAGTATGGTATAGTTTAAAAAAAAAAAAAAAAAGGACAGGGTGTAATCACAGCTTCTGACCCTAACTAGATACTTTCTTGTGACCTATCTATTATGACAGGTGTAGTTAACACCTGTCTAAAAATGTCAAAATTGCTTTTTTCTCTGAACCTATTTATTTATAAAATTAACTAAGAGTAAGCTTCTTTTATTTATCTGCATCCTTCAGAAACATATTCAGGTTTTAAAAGTGTCAACCTCAAGATATCCAATTTTTCTCCAGGAATCCTTTCCTAAGTGAATGTTACCTTGTATATGTTTACAGCCACTGGAAACTTACTAATAAGGAGAAGTTGAGGGAAAATTACAAAGCTGTGACACAGACTGCACTGACTCCCAGGTTATATTTCCTTCTTCCATAATAATAAAGAGTTTCTAGTTTGGCACACAGAGCCCAGGAAAAAGATCTCACTCTCCAGCTTTTCTTGAATGAAAAGCATTCCTGATCAGCCATGTGACCAAGTTCTGACCAACAGGCAGTAAATACGTGCAACCTCTAGGTATTATTCTTTAAAGAAAGAAACCTGACCCCTTTTTCCAGCTACGCTCCTTCCTACTGCTTAAGATGCAGAATAGTGGCAAGAGCTACAGTAGCCATCCTGGAATTGAAGGTGTCTTATGTTGAAGATAAAAGAGCAAATCGATCTATGGATCCTGGCAATCATAGAACTGCCACACTAGCCCGCTACCCAGACTTTCACCTGAAGGACAAATACATTTCTGTTTTGCAGAAACCACTGTTAATTTGGGCCTCTCTGTTCTATCAGTTAAAAGCCTATATTCTGACTAATATAGATGCTATTCACTGCATTTTCTCAGAAATTAAAAAATATATATTATCTATAACTATCTCAAATGATGTATCCTTATTCCCCATTCTTATACCATAGCAGGTGTTAGTTCACCAAAAGTGTCTTTTTTGACCTACTTTTGATAGTTGGTTATGTGCCCTGGTAAGTTGAGAAACCACAGAACAGCCTATTCCCTGACTATATTCTTACTGGATAGCTTCATATATGCTCTACACTACTGTGCCACTATGACACTTTGCCAGATGCCCCATTACAGGTTGAATTGTGTTCTCCAAGAGGACATATGTTCAATTCTTAACCTCCAGTGCTTCAAAATGTGATCTTATTTGGAAATAGGATTGCTACAGATGTAATTAGTTAAGATGAGGTCATTAGGGTGGGTCTTAATCCAATATGACTGTTACCCTTATAAAGAGGGAAAATTTGTGCTCGACACATGTACACAGAGAAAATATCATGTGAAAATGAAGATAGAGATTACAGTGATACTTCTATATGCCAAAGAATGTCAAAGATTGCCAGCAAATCACCAGAAGTCAGGAAAGAAACATGAAACAGATTCTCACAATTCTCAGAACCAACCATGCCAACACACTTATCTTAGACTTCTAGCCCACAGAACTGAGGGAATAAATTTCCATTGTTTCAGCAACCTAATTTCTAGTACTTTATTACACAGCCCTAACAAACTAATACATCCCAACATCTCCCAAGGTTTATTTTTGATGTTACCCACTAAATTCCCCAGTAAGCATTGTCAAGAACTCTTAGAAAAGCCAAACCACGACCCAGAGACTCTGTTCAGCTTATCTTCACCCAGACCTTCCTACAACACCGTACTCTCCTTAGAGAAAGAGGTTTGCGGAATGGATACACACAGACATACAGAGTGAAATAATAGACACTGGAGACTCCAAATAATGGAAAGGAGGTGAGGGTGAAATATCACCTATTGGGTACAATGTGCACTATTCAGGTGATGGGTACACTAACAGGCCAGACTTCACCATAACTCAATATATCAAGGTAACACACTGAACTTATACCCCTAAATCCATAAAAATAAAAACTTCAATGTCAAAAAATAGGTTTGTGATTGGTACTCAGTTTTTCCAAAAAGAACAATATATTGCTGAGGAATATATACGTAGATAATAAACTTAAAAAAAAAAACAAACAAAGGAATGACTCACATCAAAGTTAGCAAAAGAGCTGGGCATAGTGGCTTATGCCTGTAATCTCAGTACTTTGGGAGGCTGAGGCAGGAGGACTGCTTGAGCCCAGGAGTTCAAGACCAGGCTGGGCAACATAGCAAGACCTGGTCTCTTAAAAAAAAAAAAAAATAGCCTGGCAGGTGGCACATGCCAATAGTCCAAGCTACTCAGGAAGCTGAGGCAAGAGGACTGCCTGAGCCCAGGAGTTCAAAGCTGCAGTGAGCTATGATCATGCCACAGCACCCCAGTCTGGGTGACAGGGCAAGATGCTTTCTCAAAAAAACAAAACAAAACAAAGTTAGAATAAAGATAATTGTTTTAGCAAAGAAAAAGAGATTCCAAGTAAAAATATTGTTCTATTGTTAACCTGGTATTGGATATATGCAGGTACATTTTAATGGTTTTTAAGTACTTTTATATACTTTACACATATCTTTTTAAGTACTTTTTAATACTTTTAAGTACTTTTATATATTTTACACATACATTTTTAAAATACAACTTATTTTGTATTTGCTATCTCCTTGCCTCTCTCTGCTATCTTTTGGAAATTTCCCCAGTGTTTCAGTTACCACATTCTTTATTCAATTCTTTCTAATCTACTTTTCAATCTGTCTGTTGAGTTAATTTCTATGTCTTTTTATTTAAAAGTTCTATTTGTTGTTATTTTTCAAATCTGCTTAGTAATCTTCTCTCTTTCCTACATAATCTTTTAAGTGCCTTTTTTGTTTTCCTTCTTTTTGTTTTCTTTCTTTCATGACTTTTTGACATGAAAGGGCCTCTATTTCATAATTTATTATAATTTTCTAAATTTTATAGTTTGAAAGTCTTGAAGATCTAATCTTGCTTTCAGTGTATCTACTGACTCCTCATGCTGTGCTGCTTTTTTAACGGGTTTTTAAATTTTAGATTGTAAATTTATTTTCAATGGGGCTTTATCTGAGAGACTCTCGTGCAGCCTGTGCCTCTCTAGGTTGAATTAGGTATTCTGCTACCTGCCCTAGGGATGTCTTCAGCATGGAATGACTTAAAAATATATATATATATTTTGAGATGGAGTCTCACTCTGCTGCCCAGGCTGGAGTTCAGCAGCATCGGCTTACTGCAACCTCCACCTCCTGGGTTCAAGCGATTCTCCTGCCTCAGCCTCCCGAGTAGCTGGGATTACAGGCGCCCACCAACACGCCCAGCTAATTTTTGTATTTTTAGTAGAGACAGGGTTTCACCATTTTGGCCAGGCTGGTCTCAAACTCCTGACCTTGTGATCCACCCACCTTGGCCTCCCAAAATGCTGGGATTACAGGCGTGAGCCACCGCACCTGGCCTTAAAAAATATTTTTTATTGTGAAATGTTTCACTGCACCCAGCTGCCAAGCTATTCTTAGACAAAATTTAACATTACAGATATCGTGGTAATACAATCCAGACTTTTTTTGGAAATATCATATTTTCTTTCGGAACAAACATTTCTTATATAGTGTCTGGCTACAATGGCTCATGTCTGTAATCCCAGCACTTTGGGAGGCAGAGGCAGGTGGATCACCTGAGGTCAGAAGTTCAAGACCAGCCTGGCCAACATGGGGGAACCCCGTCTCTAATAAAAATACAAAAATTAGCCAGGTGTGGTGGCAGGCACCTGTAATCCCAGCTACTTCAGAAACTGAGGCAGGAGAATCACTTGAGCCTGGGAGGCGGAGGTTGCAGTGAGCAGAAATCAAGCCATTGCACTCCAGCCTGGGCAAGACTCTGTCTCAAAAAAAAAAAAAAAATTCTTAGTAATATTTGTCTCTACTGGGATTCTAAATCTCTGTAGGTAAAGACAGTAAAGTGTTTTTCTTGCAGGTAAAGAAAATTATGAGTTCGATACTATATAAAAGAAAAAGAGTAAGTTTAATATGATTTACAGTTAAGTGTAAATGTAGAATGTCACTAGAAACAAATATAAATTTTCAACATATCCCACCCAAAGAACTTCACACAAATATGAGTCCAAAATATTTCCTAATTATCAGGTACTAGAAATCAAATCTGCTGTTTTAGGACCCAATTTGAATTCTAAAATGTTTTCACCGAATACAACAATATGGGTTGGGTAGACAAAATTTCAGCTCACTCTGGTTTTCCCCTGTCCCTTCTCTAAGATCATAATTGTAAAAAACTATGTCCATGTCCCAGGAATCACAGAACATTTAGTCTCGTATAAGAAATTTCTCATTTCAGAAAATTAGGTTAAATTTGGTATTCTCTACAATTGCCTTTCCTCTTTCTTGCTTCTTTTAAAGAACTATACCTTAACGTTTTCTTAAGGCCCAGCTCAAGAAATATCTCTCTGAGAACCATTTTGACCTCTCCAGCCGACAGTAAACTAGAATGATACACATCATATTACCAATACAATATAGTCATTTAATATGCTGAACTGAAAATATTCCCTTTGAAGTTTTTGTTCTCCTTCTACTTACTATATTCTGGGTCTTTCACTATTTCTTAGAATGCACAGAAGCCCTAGCAGTTTCAGCAATATTATCAACAAACTCACAATCATATAAGATTTCCATTTCTACTATCATAACTAATCCTTACAAGAACCCTGTAAGTCATACAGATTAGTCAATTATCACATCTAGCTGATAAAGGAACAAAAAAAAAATGTGTCCATTCATAGCCAAGACTACAAATCAGACTATCTGACTCATAGTCTCATGTTTCCTTACACCTTCACTAATAATCTATTATTTAAGTTAGATTTTTTTTTCTTTAAATAGTGAGCTAAGTATTTGAAAAATTTGTGAACTTTACTATCTATACAAAAATTAGTCAAAGTATATGTTACTGAAAATAAATTAGAAGTATCATCTTTATATTTATTTAAATCCCCAAACATACTACAAAATAGTCGAAATCTCCTCTCATTGTTTATTGTACCCTTCATAAGAGTTAGAAATTTTCACAGAATAATGGTATGTCTACAAAAGTGTTAAGAAAAAAGGTTCCATGATCAAATAAGTCTAAGAAATAATGAATTAAACAATGGTAAAGAGATGTTTATATGATAGAATTACCAGAGCTTTAATATGCAACTGTGCAGTAGACATCTTGAAAGGAAGATATACAACCAATGCATGGACTTCCCAAAAGTTATTTCACAATGGAACCTCTTTTCCTTTTTATTTGATTTAGAGATAGGGTCTCACTATGTTGGCCAGGCTGGACTTGAACTTCTGTGCTCAAGCAATCCTCCTGCCTCAGCCTCCCAGGTTTCTGTTTGAACAAGAGATTTTTTCATAAATAGCATTCTTCAACAGCTTTTTCAAAAAACATTTGATGATGTAACATATTTATGTTCTTGAAGCTTATTATTGTAAGCTTCACCCAGACCCCTAAATCCATAAAAATAAAAGTGCTTGAAGTCTTAGATAGGCAGCTGGATGAATAAATATCACAGAATTAACTATGTTTTAAGCAAACATTTAGTAGGCACTTCAGAAGTTTTTCAGGTAAGTAGTTTAACTCAACCTGTTTGTTTTTTCACAGATTTCCTTTTATGACTTATTGAAGTTAGTAAGTAAACAAAAAAGACATCTTCAATTAAGATTACTTTAGGAAAAAAGAAAATATGAGCAAATAAAATCACACTAACCCCTCATCCCTTTCTGAACCAGTCAGTCCAAAAGTCAAGCAACATAGATATCCTCCCACATTTGGCTGGTCTGTGTGCCCACAGAAGTAATGTGTGACTTACGAAGTTAGGTCATTAGAGCTTCATGGCTCCCTTTACATCATTCATTCTAAGGAAAATCAGTCACCACAAATGAGGATATTCAAGCAGCTCAGTGAGAGGCTCACTTAGAGAGGAACAGTCCTCCAGCCAGCAGCCAGCACCAACTTGCCAGTCATGTAAGTAACCCTGAAAGCAAGTCCTCTAGTCCCAGTTAAGTCTTTAGATGACTACAGCTCCAGCCAACATTTTGAATGCAACCTCGTGACAGACCCTGAGTCAAAACTATCTAGCCAACCTACTCCCAAATTCCTGACCCAGAAAAACTGAGCTGATAAATGTTTATCACTGTTTTACACTGTAAGGTTTGGGGGTAATTTGTAACACAGCAATACATAACTAGTACAGTTACAAATCAGTAATTGGGGAAAACTTTATTATGCTATTTATTCCTGTATCATAAATTTTTTAATTCAAATATTCTAATAATAAAAATGCACAGAATAAGTGATTGCTGTCAGCTACATAGGCACTTTACATAAGCACTTTACATGGATTATCATATTTAATTACCTCTTGTAAACATGAAACATAAGTAACTTCTGAACATGGGTTTCAACACTACATAATACTTGTATTTAATTATTTGTGACAGTTACTGCAGACTGGCTTACCCAACACCAATTCCTCAAAGTCTATCAGACAAAACTGAAAAGAAAGTATAAATGAGAAAAAAAAAATAGTTCATATGGCAAGAAGACAGTTTTGGCAATGAGAAAAATGAAACAAAAAGATATAGCCAGGCTTTAAAATCATACTCTATACCTATGTATTAAGAAGAGAAAAAGCAGTGAAAAAAATTCGAGTGGCTAACAGTTTGTACTCTGGCATGACTCTATACATCTGAATACTGGTGATATGGTTTGTCTGTGTCTCCACCCAAATCTCATCTTGAATTGCAGCTCCCATAATCCCTACATGTCGTGGGAAGGACCCAGTGGTGGGTAACTGAATCATGGGGTGGGGGGTTCTCATGATAGTGAATAAGTCTCACAAGATCTGATGGTTTTATAAAGGGCAGTTACCCTGCACATGCTCTCTTGCCTGCCGCATATAAGACGTGCCTTTGTTCCTCCTTCGCCTTCCACTACGACTGTGGGGCCTCCCCAGCAATGTGGAACTGTGAGTCCATTAAAACTCACTTTCTTTATAAATTACCCAGTCTCGGTTATTTCTTCACAGCAGTATGAAAATGGACTAATACAACTGGAAAGTTCTTTTTTTCCATCTCAAATATCCAAGTCAGTCTGAAATGTGGAAGGTATTTAGAGTTCAAGGAAAAAAAGGCAGAATCAAATAATTCGAGTACCTATATAAATATCTTCTATAAAATTACGTATAGAAAATAAGATATAAAGATATCTATTGCAGCACTATTTGTGAAACTGAAACATTAGATATAGCCTAAATATCCAGCAATAGAGAGATACTTATAACCAGCTGATGGCCATGTAATGGAATATTGTACAGCCTTTAAAAAGAATATAAATCAATATGTGCTGGCATGCCACGATGTTCAAGACACAATACTAAATTTTTTTAAAGGTGCAGGACAGTATTTACAGTATGACCACATTTCCTTAAAAGATACAATTATATTTAAATCAGAGATAAGTGAAACTGCAGTTTCAGCCTAGGTAGTTGCCAAAACATATTGCTTGGTTTCAGCTAAGTGCCCACTTATGCACTGCTTCTGACATTCCTAAAGTGTAGGTGATAAATAATTGTATTATCAAGTATATTAACATCATATATAATCAGTATGACAATGTCAGTAATATAGATAAGGCAAGTCATTCGGATATAGTATCTGAATATTCACTTTCAAATGCAGACAAATTTTTGAGGAAAAATCTCCTTATGTGCTTTATATGGTAAAAGTGAGGAATTAAGGCATATTTCTTTTTTTTTTTTTAGATGGAGTCTCGCTTTGTTGCCCAGGCTGGAGTACAGTGGCACAATCTCAGCTCACTGCAACCTCCGCCTCCCAGGTTCAAGCGATTCTCCTGCCTCGGCCTCCCAAGTAGCTGGGACTACAGGTGTACGCCACCAAGCATGGCTAATTTTTGTATTTTTAGTAGAGACGGGGTTTCACCGTGTTAGCCAGGATGGTCTCAAACTCCTGACCTTGTGATCCACCCACCTCAGCCTCCCTAAGTGCTGGGATTATAGGCGTGAGCCACCATGCCCAGCCGGCATATTTCTTATTATAAGAATAAAATGCTACAATATTTATTTATTATGAAATAAACAGTATTATGAAAGCTACTAATTTTATCTTACAAAAGTAACTGTGCCTTCCTCAATAATTGGTAGAAATAAACAGAAAATCAGAAAGGATTAAAAGAACTCAATAACACTATCAACAAAGAAGAACTAATTGACATTTATATAAGACTCCACCCAATTATAGAACAATAAATATTGTTTACAAGGGCCTATGGACTAGAGATTATATTCTGGGACATAATACAAACTCAACAAATTTAAAGATATTGAAAGTATATGGAGTGGGTTCTCTGACCACAATGAAATCAAACTAGGAATCAATAACAGAAAGATAAAGATCACAGAAAAATGTGCGAACACTTGGAAACTATTACACTCCTAAATAGTTTATGTGTCAAAAGAGGAAGTCTCAAATAAATTTTTTAAATACGATGAACTGAATCAAAATAAAAATATAATATATCAAAATTTGTGGGCCATACCTGAGAGGGAAATTTGTAGCACTAAAACCAGAAGTCTCAAATCAATAATCTAAGTTTCCATTTTAAAGAACCTAGTAGAAAAGCAAAATAAGCCCAAAACAAGCAGAAAGAAGGAAATAATAAAGACAAAAGCAGAAGTCAGTGAAGTAGAAAGTAGGAAAACAATAATCAATGAAGAGCTAGTTCTTTGAAAAGATCAATAAAATTGACAAACCTTGGCAGGACTTAAAAAGCAGCAAGAAATAAGACACAAATTACTAGTATCAGGGAGAAAACACTATCACTACAGGCCTTAGAGGCAGCAAAAAAAAAAAAAATAGGGAATACTGCAAACAACTCTAAACATATAATGTGACAACTTAGAGGAAATGGACCAATTCCTCAAAACTGGAAGCTACCACTACTTGCCCAATATGAAATAATTTGAATAATCCTATAATTATTAAGGAAATTAAGTTCATAATTTTAAAATTCAAAAAAGAAATCTCAAAGTTCACATGGTTTCTCTGGAGAATTCTTCTAAATATTTTTTAAAAAATTAATGCCAATTTTAAATTTCTCAATCCATTTTACGAAGCTACTATTTTACTAAAACCAGACAAAGACAGTACCAAAAAAAAAAAAAGCCTATACACCAATATCCCTCATGAATATAAACACCAAAATTCTTAACAAAAAATTAGCAAGTAGAATTCGGCAATAAATAAGAATTTTACACCATGGCCAAGTAGATTTTATTCCAGGAATGCAACACTGTTTTAATATTTAAAAATCAATTAATGTAATCCACCATATTAATAGGATAAGGTAGGACAATCACACGATCATATCAACTGATGCAGAAAAAGTATTTGACAAAAATTCAATAACACTATTGAGGATAAAAACTCAGAAAAATGGAAACAAAAAAAAACTTCAACTTGATAAGCAACATTTACATAAAACCTACGACTAACATTATACTCAATGATAAAAGACCGAGTATTTTCTCTCCTAAAGATCAGGAACATGGCTAAGACATGCACTCTCACTACTTTTATTCAAATTAGTGCTGAAAGTTCCAGCCATGGCAATTCAGCAAGAAGAAATAAAAGGTATGCAGGTGAGAAAGGAAGAAATTAAGCTGTCCCTATTTGCACCAAAGACATTTCCAAAAACAGAAACCTCCTAGAAATAATGAGTTCAGCAAGGTAACGGGTTACCAGATAAACATTTAAAAATCAATTATACTTCCATATACTACCAAGGAACATGTGGGCAATGACATTTAAAATATACCATCTATAATTGCTCAAAAATATGAAGTTCTTAGATGTAAATCTAACAAAATATATACAGGACTTGAATGCTGAAAACAATAATATGATGATGAAAGAAATCAAAGAAGATCTAAATAAATGGAGAGGCACACTGCATTCATAGTACAGCTGTCAATTCCTCCAAAACTGATATATAGATCTAACATAGTTCCCATCAAAATCCCAGCAAGACTTTTGCAGATATAGAAAAGATTATTGTATGATTTATATGGAAAAGCAAAGGAACTAGAATACCAAAAACAATCTTGAAAGAGAAAGATAAAGTAGAAAGAATCCATCTACCCAATTTCAAAACTTATTATGTAGCTACAGCAATCAACACTGTGAGGAACTGGTGGAGGGGCAGACACATAAATCAATGAGACAGAATAAAGAACCCAGAACTAGACCCACACAAATATTCTGAACAGTTTTAACAAAAGTACAAAAAGCAATTCAAGGGAGAAAGAAGAGTCTTTAAAACAAATGGTACTGGAACAATTACAAATGAACTTTTCTTTACCTAAGTATTACACCTTACACAAAAACTAACTCAATATTGATCACGGATTTAAATGTAAAATATAAAACTTTTTTAAAAACATAGGAGAAAATCTTCAGAATTTAGGGTTAAGCAAGAAGTTTTTAGACTTGACACAAAAGCAAGATCCATACAGGGAAAACTGATAAATTAGGCTTTATTAAAATTAAAAATTCTGCTCACCAAAAAACCTTTTCAGGAGGATGAAATGGCAAGCTACAAACTAGGAGAAAATATCTGCAAACCAAATATCTGACAAAAGAATAATATCTAAAAAATATAGTCTCTCAAAAGTCAAGAGTAAAAAAAATCCAATTAGAAAATGTGCAGAAGAACGTTTCACCAAAGAAGACATAAAGAAGACACATAAACACACACACACAAAAAGTCTAACATCATTAGGCATTAAAGAAATGCAAATTAAGACCACAGTGGATATCACTATACATCAATCAAAACAACTAAAAAAATAATGACAACACCAAATGCTGGTGAGGATGTGGAGAAACTGGATAATTCGTATGTTGTTGGTGGGAATGTAAAATGACACAGCCACTATGAAAAAGTTTGGTAATTTCTATTTAAAAAAAAAAAACTAAATATGCACCTACTATTCAATCTAGCAAGTGCACTCCTGCCATTTTTCCCAAATAAATAAAAACTTATGTTCACACAAAAACCTGTATATAAATATTTACAGTAGTTTTGTTGGTAATAGCCAAAAAGTGGAAATCACTCGGATGTCCTTCAACAGCTAAATGGTTAAACAAACTGTAGTACATCCATACCATAAAATACTATTCAACAATAAAAAGGAACAAACTATTGACACACACAGCAATCTAGAAGAATCTCCAGAGAACCAATTGGTTTTTTTCTCAAGTTCGTACAGTCTTCTGGAGATTCTTCAACTGACAAAAATATAGAAATTGAGAACAGATTGGTGGTTGCCAGGGGTTAAGATGGGGTAGAGGAAAGTGGGTATAGCTGTAAGAGGGTAACAGGAGGAAACTTTCTGCACCTCGATTATACCAATATCAATATTGTTCTAGTTTTGCAAGATTTTCCCATTGGGGGAAACCGGATAAAGAGTACAAAGGATTTCTCTGCATTATGTCTTCAACTGCATGTGAATCAGCAATTATCTCAAAATAGAAGACCTAGTTTTAAAAAATAAGTAATTCTATGTGAGGTATAAATTGTCACAGGATTAATTTTCCACCAATTATTTCCCATTGAAAAGAAAACTATATTAACCTAAATGAATCTTCAATTGGTAGAAAAATGAGAGCCAAATTAAGCGGCAAGGAAACTCGTAAGTTCAAATTCTGAAGCCACCTACAGACATACATAATCCCAGCTTCTTTACTTATCCCTCCCTCCCTACTCCAGCCAAAAAAAAATCAGTATATTTAATTACTTGCCCTACACCTGAAAAAATGTTTGCCATATACTATACAAAAAAGATGAAGCATATATTGATATCACACAGAGTTTAACTATATATCCTACTGACTCACATCTAATACTTGCATTATAGAATAAATATGCAAATTTGAACCTTCAAACAGGAAATGAAATTTTCTAAATCCATTACATAACTTCAGATTCATGTGTGCACTGAAGGCTAATAAATCATCTAAACCTTCATACAGAGAACCTTTTTAAATTTGCATTTATCTACAGTAAATTCTGTCATGTTCTTTAATAGCTTGCTGGTTCAATCTAGCAAACTAGTGATTTATAGCAGTGACATATTTCAAAAATCAGAAATCTCTCACTATGTGACAACCAGTCAAAGTCCACTGAACTTACATTACTTGAACTCAAACATCATAGGATATGAAAGAGATAGCAAAATGTCATGAATTTCATATTCAAATCAATTTGAGTTTATGTTTATAAGTGTTTAAAACTATAGCATCACATACATTACTTAATACTTCAGTACCCCAAATATTTTATGTCATGATTCCCTCAATGTGTCCAAACTACCTGTATTTTAAAATACATTTTTAAATTTGATAGTTCATAATTTGAAGACTCTACAAATCTTACTTTGAAGAACACCAAAATTTAGGGTACATGAAAGAAAGATCTATATATTAGGTTTTCTCCACCAAAAAAAAAAAATGTACTTTTAGATCTTTATAATAATTTCATACCAATATCCTTATGTAGGGAGATTTATCAGATGTGAAAATGGAGATTATATTAACAATAGGGAAATAAACTGGAAATTACCAAAATGTTCACTGTAATAGACAATGTTGTTTTTGTCTGTATTGTATTTACTCTTCCTTCCATCCTCTTCCATTTATGGAATTCTGACAAGAAAGTCTCAGTACCTCACACCCAGGTCACAGAGAGGTCACTTAAGTCAGGCCTGGCTAAATATATACTTCCCCCTTCTACTGGCCACAGTGATTAATACAAGACTGAGAATGTGAGCTAAGTCAGGCCAATCAAAATCATTACCAAGACTGTTTTTTAATTTATAAGGTGAAAAAGAAGGGCTCTTGGTCTTTGGGTCAAAAGTAGGAGAAATATGTAAACTGAAGGCTTCCAGCAGATATGTTCCCTGCCATGTGGACAGAGGAGGCCTAGCTGCACCATAAATGGAAGAAGAATATTCTGGTGACATCAATTCCCTGTTTCCAGGGTTTCCCTGGTTCTTGCAGCTTCATTCAATGATGTAGCCTGGTCCTATGAACCAATCATTCCCTTTTATACTTAAGCTACTTTGATGTAAGATTCTATCTCTTACAATGAGAAAATCCCGGATTAATTCCAAAAAAAGAAGGAACTAGCTGAATTATGGCACATACGTATAGTTGTATATAACACAGCAATTTTTTAAATCATTTTCATTCATAGTTCTCCACTGACAGTCTACGTTAGACTCAACATCATCTTTTTACAAAAAAAAAAAAAATTCTTTGTGACACCCCTATACTAACCTGAAATAAAAGTGACACATTCCATTTTATCAATTATTTTAAAAAGATCAGAGATCAGAATGTGTCTTATAATCAATGGCATCTAAAATTACAATTGCAGGGTTTTTTCCTAATGCTGCATAAAAATAATGACAAATCTTACAACTTGGCATCTTAGACTTGAGGAAACACAATAGATAATAAGACCTACCTATAAACAACAACAAAAATCTACAAAGTACTCTAACCATAATAAAAGAAAAATAATTAAAATACTTTTCAGTATTTTTTCCATATATAAATCCTTGTAAATAACCAAATAATAAAGTAGTTAGGTCCTGGTAACTATATACAGAATCTACATTAATGTATGTTACAGAAACAAGGCACAGTGATTCAGGTGTGTATTAGATATTCAAATACTATTATATTCCAATTAGACGTGATTTTTAATTCTTCATAAAGTTCCAAATAAAACAAAGTATGATTTTTTTCTTCTTTAAAGCTTACTTATGTTTCTAAAAAAACTCAGCATATGTTAAAAGTATTCAAAAAGTTTATGCTGATATGGAAAATGAAATTAAAGTCTAATAAGTTCAGGAGAACAGAGGATATCACACCTTGCTGTTTGCAAATGTATCTTCCATTGCAAGGTCCTTAGCAGCCTTAGTCCAGAACACTAAGTGTCCACTACCAACTCCAAATCATTCTAAGAACCAAAAATACTCACCAAATTTCCTAAACACCTCCAAGGAGCAGTACTGGTCTCACTGAGAACTACTCATGATTGGACAAGGAAAGATGTTTAAGATACATGATTAAAGGAAAAAAAGCAGATATGTACAAAATAACCTGTTGTATATGTGTGTGTGTGTGTGTGTGTATGTCTATAGAGAGAGAGATAGGTAGAGACAAATGAAGACAGATGCTGATACATATAAAAATGTGTAGGATGTATATGGGTGTGTGTGCTGCAAGAAGGGCAGACAATAAACTATTAACAATGGCTACCTCAAAGAAGTGGGTTGAGGAGAGGGAAATTAGACAGTCAGTCTTTCATTTTCACTTCATACTTTTTTAAATGAGCATATACTGCTTTAAACAATAAAAAAAAGGACTTTAAAAAATCCAAGTAGTAAAGGCCATGTCCAACATCATTCCCAAGAGCCTGTCTCTTTGCCTGTGTCTGTCAATGTCTGCCTGAGCCTCATCCTGACCGTCTATAAGGCCGTCTGTTTCTCTCTCTCTTTCTCTCTGTGCGTGGGGTGGGCGGGGTGGAGAGGGTTTCTGTACCTATCTCTCTCTGGTTCTTGGTATCTGCATATCTCTTCTTTGAGTGTGTCTCTCTTGAAATTATGTGTATCTGTGCTTTACTCTCTGAGTATCTGTCTCTCTGTGTATGCATGAATGTCTTCCTCCCGGAGCACAGACGGAAGCATGGGCCTTGACCTCCTCCCAGTCTTAATGCATTCATCTTTATATCTCTGTGTATGTGTCCATCTTCCACTTTCTCACTTACAATTATTTTGCTTCCTTTCCTCTTCTGTTTCCCTGACCCCTCATCTCCCTCCATCAAGCCCTTCGCCCATCTTGTCTTCCTCTACTACCTCCCCAACTGTTTCCATATAAGCAAAGTTCACACTGCTAGAGTGTTAATGTGTTCATAGCCCTGATAAACTCTCTTCAACTGGATCACAAATGATCATTTCTATCTGAAGAGCGTATCTGAAGAGTTCTGTTAGTTACAAAATAACATGCTAACTAAATTAAAATTAGGGTAACTAATCCTTATTTTAATAATAGAACAACTCAGCAGAAGATCAACATGAAAAACAGAAGAGGTGAACAACACTATAAACCAACTAACCTCACGAACATCTATAGGATATTTATTCTCCAGGATAGACCATGTTACTCATCCATAAAACAAATCTCAATAAATTTAAAAGAATAGCTCCCTCTCCCTCTCTCCCTCCCCCTCCCCCTCCCCCCCCTCTTTGCACGGTCTCCCTCTGATGCCGAGCCAAGGCTGGACTGTACTGCCGCCATCTCGGCTCACTGCAACCTCCCTGCCTGATTCTCCTGCCTCAGCCTGGGAGTGCCTGGGATTGCAGGTGCGCACCGCCACACCTGACTGGTTTTCGTATTTTTTGGTGGAGACAGGGTTTCGCCGTGTTGGCTGGGCTGGTCTCCAGCTCCTACCGCGAGTGATCTGCCAGCCCGGGCCTCCCGAGGTGCCGGGATTGCAGACAGAGTCTCACTCACTGAGTGCTCAATGTTGCCCAGGCTGGAGTGCAGTGGTGTGATCTCGGCTCACTACAACCTCCACCTCCCAGCCGCCTGCCTTGGCCTCCCAAAGTGCCAAGATTGCAGCCTCTGCCCGGCCGCCACCCCGTCTAGGAAGTGAGAAGCGTCTCTGCCCGGCCGCCCATCATCTGGGATGTGAGGAGCCCCTCTGCCTGGCTGCCCAGTCTGGGAAGTGAGGAGCGCCTCTTCCCGGCCGTCATCCCGTCTAGGAAGTGAGGAGCATCTCTGCCCGGCCACCCATCTTCTGGGATGTGGGGAGCGCCTCTGCCCCGCCACCCCGTCTGGGAGGTAAGGAGCGTCTCTGACCGGCCACCCCGTCTGAGAAGTGAGGAGCCTCTCCGCCCGGCAGCCACCCCGTCTGGGAAGTGAGAAGCCCCTCCACCCAGCAGCCGCCCCGTCTGGGAAGTGAGGAGCATCTCTGCCCGGCAGCCGCCCCGTCGGGGAGGTGGGGGGCAGCCCCCGCCCGGCCAGCCGCCCCGTCCAGAAGGTGGGGGGCCCCTCTGCCCGGCCACCCCGTCTGGGAAGTGAGGAGCCCCTCTGCCCGGCCGCCACCCCGTCTGGGAGGTGTACCCAACAGCTCATTGAGAACGGGCCATGATGACGATGGCGGTTTTGTCAAATAGAAAAGGGGGAAATGTGGGGAAAAGAAAGAGGGATCAGATTGTTACTGTGTCTGTATAGAAAGAAGTAGACATAGGAGACTCCATTTTGTTCTGTACTAGGAAAAATTCTTCTGCCTTGGGATGCTGTTAATCTATAACCTTACCCCCAACCCCGTGCTCTCTGAAACATGTGCTGTGTCCACTAAGGGTTAAATGGATTAAGGGCGGTGCAAGATGTGCTTTGTTAAACAGATGCTTGAAGGCAGCATACTCGTTAAGAGTCATCACCACTCCCTAATCTCAAGTACCCAGGGACACAAACACTGCAGAAGGCGGCAGGGCCCTCTGCCTAGGAAAACCAGAGACCTTTGTTCACATGTTTATCTGCTGACCTTCCCTCCACTATTGTCCTATGACCCTGCCAAATCCTCCTCTCTGAGAAACACCCAAGAATGATCAATAAATACTAAAAAATTTTTTAAAAATTAAAAAAAAAAGAACCTAGACTCAGAAATCAAAAAAAAAAAAAAAAAAAAAGAATAAAAGGAACACCAAGTATATCATTTGACCATAAGGGAATAAAACTAGAAATCATAACAGAAAGAAATTTTGGAAACTCAACAAATATATGGAAATTAAACAACACACTCCTAAATAGCCTATATAAAAGAATAAGTGAAGAAAAAAAATTAGGCTAGGCACAGTGGCTCACACCTGTAATCCCAGCACTTCAGGAGGCCAAGGCAGGTGCATCACTTGAGCCCAGAGTTCGAGAATGGCCTGAGAAACATGGTGAAACCCTGTCTCTACAAAAAACAGAAAAATGAGCCAGGTGTGGTGGCACATGCCTGTAGTCCCAGTGTCTCAGGACACCTGTGAGGATCACCTGAGCCTGAGAGGTAGAATCTGCAGTGAGCCACCATCACACCACTGCACTCCAGCCTGACTGAAAGAGTGACACACTATCTCATAAAAGAAAAAGGAAAGGAAAAAAAGAAAATAGAAAATACACTGAGATGAATGAAAATGAAGATACAACATGACAAAATGTATGGAATGTATAAAGCAGTGTTCAGAGGGAATTTATAGCTGTAAATGCCTACTTTAAAATAGAAGAAAGATACTAAATCAACAATATAACCTTTGAACATGCATAAAAAGAAGGAGCCAAGCCATGTCCGGTGGCACCCACCTGTGGTCTAGCTACTCAGGAGGCTGACGCAGGAAGATTGCTTGAGCCCAGGAGTTCGAGGTCAGCCTGGGCAACACAAGGCAAACCCCCATCTCAATAATAATAATAATGACGTAGGCCGGGCGCCGTGGCTCACACCTGTAATCCCAGCACTTTGAAAGGCCAAGGCATGCAGATCTCCTGAGGTCAGGAGTTCAAGACCAGCCTGGCCAACATGGTGAAACCCCATCTCTACTAAAAATACAAAAATTACCCAGGTGGGGTGGTGGGCGCCTGTAATCCCAGCTACTTGGGAGGCTGAGACAGGAGAATCACTTGAACCCGGGAGGCAGAGGTTGTGGTGAGCCGAGATTGTGCCACTGCACTCCAGCCTGGGCAACAGAGAGAGACTCCATCTCAAAAATAATAATAATAATGTAGCCTTCCATCTTAAACCCTACAAAAGAAGCGCATAGTAAACCTAAAGCAAGCAAAAGGAATAAAATAATAAAGATTACAGAAGAAATGAATGAAACAAATGAGAATAAAATGAAATTAACAATATAAAATTAGTGGTATTTTTAAAAATAAAATCAATACAACCTGGCTTCTTTGGTCCTTCAACAACAACAACAAAAAAATGAAATTGACAGATTTTTAGTTAGACTAACCAAGAAGAAAAGAGAAGACTCAAATTACTAAAATCAGAAATGAGAGTGCATTACTACCAACCTTACATAAATGAGATTATAAAGACACACTATGAACAATTGTATGCCAATAATTAGACAACTTAGATAAAAGGAGCAAATTCCTCAGAGGGATACAAACTACAGAAACTGACTCAAAAAGAAATACAAAATACAAACAGACCTACAACAAGAATTAAATTAGTAATAAAAAAATCAACTCACAAAAAACAAAACAAAAAAAAAACTTAGGCCCAGGTGGCTTCACTGGTGAATTCTACCTAACATTTAAAGACAAATTAATACAATTCTTCACAAACTCTTCCAAAACACTGAGGAGGAGAGAACACATCCCAGCTAAATCTATGAGGCCGGTACTAACCTTATGCCAAGATCAGACAAAACCATCACAAAAAAGAAAACTACAGACCAATATATCTTATGAATATGAACACAAAAATCCTCAACAAAATACTAGCAAACCAAATCCAGGAACATATAAAAACAGTTATACACTATGACTAAATGAGATTTATTCCAGGAATGCAAGCTCAGTTTAACATTCAAAAATTAATAAATGTGATACACCATAAAATGAAAAACCACATGATCATCTCAATAGACAAAAAAAGCATCTGACAAAATCTAATACCTTTCATTATTAAAACACTTAACAGACTAAGAATAGAAAGAAACTTCTTCAACCTGACAAAGGGCATCTATGAAAATCCCACAGCTAACATCATACTTAATGGAAGTATCACTATGAACCAATTAGGTATTTTATCTTAAAATACATATACACACACATATACACATACACACTCACACATAAATATGTAATGTGTGTGAGTGTGTGCGTGTGTGTGTATGTGTAGTTTTATCAACTGGAAAGGGGTACAAACAATGACCAACACAATAACAATGAACATGCTTACTGCCCAGATTGTGGTCTTGAAATACCATTTCTCACTAAAAATCAGGGCTTCTTGAAGGAGTAGCTTGTATTAGTCTGTTCTCACACTGCTAATAAAGACATACCTGAGACTGGGTAATTTATAAAGGAAAGAGGTTTAACTGACTCACAGTTCCACTCCCCAGTGGAACTGGGGAGGCCTCACAATCATGGCTGAAGGTGAAGGTGGAGCAAAGACATGTCTTTGCAGGCAAGTGAGCATGTGCAGGGGAACTCCCCTTTATAAAACCACCAGATCTCATGAGACTTATTCACTATCAAGAGAACAGCACGGAAAGACCTGCCCCCATGATTCAATTACCTCCCACTGGGTCCCTCCCACAACATGTGGGAATTGTGGGAGCTAGAATTCAAGATGAGATTTTGGTGGGGACACAGCCAAACCATATCATTCTGCCCACGGCCCCTCCCAAATCTCATATCCTCACATTTCAAAACCAATCATGCCTTCCCAACAGTCCCCCCAGTCTTAACCCATTTTAGCATTAACTCCAAAGTCCACAGTCCAAAGTCTCATCCAAGACAAGGCAAGTCCCTTCTGCCTATGAATCTGTAAAATCAAAAGAAGCTAGTTACTGCCTGGATACAATGGGGGTACAGGCATTGGGTAAATACACTCATTCCAAATAGGAGAAATTGGCCAAAACAAAGGGGCTACAGGTCCCGTGCAAGTCCAAAGCCAGTGGGACAGTCAAATCTTAAAGCTCCAAAATGATCTCCTTTGACTTCATGTCTCACATCCAGGTCACACTGATGCAAGAGGTGGGTTCCCACGGTCTTGGGCAGCTCCGCCCCTGTGGCTTTGCAGGGTACAGACCCACTCCTTGCTGCTTTCACGGCTGGCGTTGAGCATCTGCAGCTTTTCGAGGTGCACAGTGCAAGCTGTCAGTGGATCTACCATTCTGGGGTCTGGAAGATTGTGGCCCTCTTCTCACAGCTCCACTAGGCAGTGCCCCAGTGGAAACTCTGTGGAGGCGCTTGTACCCCACATTTCCCTTCCACAGTGTCTTAGCAGAGGTTCTCTGTGAGGGCTCCACCCCTGCAGCACACCTCTGCCTGGACATCCAGGTATTTTCATACATCCTCTGCAATCTAGGTGGAGGTTCCCAAACCTCAGTTCTTGACTTCTGTGCACCCAAAGGCCCGACACCACACATAGGCCATCAAGGCTTAGGGCTTTCACCCTCTGAAGCAATGGTGTGAGCTGTATATTGCCCCCTTTTAGCCACAGCTGGGATGCAGGGCACAATGTCCCCAGACTGCACAAAGCTGCAAGTCCCGGAGGCCAGCCCACAAAACCACTTTTTCCTCCCAGGACTCCAGGCCTGTGATGGGAGGGGCTTCTGTGAAGACCTCTGACATGCCCTGGAGACATTTCCCTATTGTCTTGGCAATTAACATTTGGCTCCTCTTTACTTATGCAAATTTCTGCAGCTGGCTTGAATTTCTCCTCAGAAAATGGGTTTTTCTTTTCTATTGCATCATTAGGCTACAAATTTTCCAAACTTTTACACTTTGCTTCCTCTTGAATGCTTTAGCACTTAGAAATTTCTTCCACCAGATACCCTAAATAACCTCTCTCAAGTTCAAAATTCCACAGACCTCTAGGGCAAGGGTAAACTGCCGCAAGTCTCTTTGCATGGCAAGAATGATCTTTACTCCAGTTCCCAACAAGTTCCTCATCTCCATCTGAGATCACCTCAGCCTGGACTTTATCGTCCATTTCACCATCAGCATCTTGGTCAAAGCCATTCAACAAGTCTCTAGGAAGTTTCAAACTTTCCCACATTTCCCTATCTTCTTCTAAGCCCTCCAAACTGTTCCAACCTCTTCCTGTTACCCACTTCCAAAGTAACTTCCACATTTTCAGGTATCTTTACAGCAGCACCCCACCCTACCATTACCAATTTACTGTCCGAGTCTGTTCTCACACTGCTAATAAAGACATACCTGAGACTGGGTAATTTACAAAGGCAAGAGGATTAACGGACTCACAGTTCTACATGCCTGGAGAGGCCTCATAGTCAAGGCTGAAGGCAAAGGAGGAGCAAAGACACATCTTACATGGCAGCAGCCAAGAGTGTGTGCAGGGGAACTCCCCTTTATAAAACCATCAGATCTCGTGAGACTTATCCACTATCAAGAGAAGAGCAGGGGAAAAACCCACCCCCATGATTCAATTACCTCCCACTGGGTCCCTCCCACATGAGACCTACAATTCAAGAAAGATTTTGGTGGGGACACAGCCAAGCCATTATGATAGCTGGTTCAAGGTCTGGAACTAGAAATGAAAATATGAGCCTGAAATATCTTGCCATAAAAATAGCAGAAACATGATCAAAGTCTAGTAGGGTTGTACCAAAAGGACTCAGGAATCAACCTGAAGAAGTGCCTACTGGCCAAAAATAAAAGTTTGAGGTTCAATAAAGTAATAATAATTGCCATCAAATATGTTTAAATCCTTTAATTCATAATATTTCAAAAAGACAATAACAACGAATTGGTCTCCTGTAGAGGATAAGAAGAGAAATGGCTGTTACTTACAAAATTAATGAATAAAAGGAATGAAACTGTTCCAATTACATATTTATATAATATTTATATAATATGTAACATAGTGTAAATCTAATATACTTATTATATTATCTATAATTATATATAAAGAACATATAAAAAGTATATAAATATATAAAAGAATGTAAATACACAAAGAATATATTTATAAATCTATATAAAGTATACATAAATATATAAAGTGTGTGTGTGCATGTACGTATACATACTTTTTTTTTTTTTTAAGAAACAGGGTCTTCCCATGTTGCCCAAGCTGGCCTTGAACTACTGTGTTCAAGGAATCCTCCTGCCCCAGCCTCCCAACTAGCTGGGGCTACCGGTGTGTACCACCATGCCTGGCTTATCTATGTATTAACTGTGCCACTGGATAACTAAATACAACTGGATAATTAAATACATCTTTTCATAGAACTATTCCATTTAATACATGAAAAAATATATATAATATCATCATTATTCAGACTCCAGTGATTTAATGGATCTAGATGTTGAGAATCAACAGCTGATAACATTATAAAAAGAGACAACCTGACATAAGAGCCTCCGGATGACAGAACACAGCACCACCTAGAGTCTAGCCAAAGGTATGGAAGCCAAATCTTCTGGAATCAACTTCCAATTTGCAGGAAATACGGAGGACACAAGAACATGTTAAACTACACCATGAATATGCACTTAACAAAATCCAGACCATGGGAAATGCTAAATGTCAAAAGGTCCAGGTTTTTTAAAAGGTCCAGGTTTTTTTAACAGATAGAATGACCTGAGACTTAAAAAACGTGTTTTTTAAAACTAAGAAAAACTAAATTATAGATAAGGGATGTATTATTAGATTACATAATTACAAATAAATAAAAGAAAGTGATTACTGTAAAAGTCAAGATAGAGGTTCCATTTGAGGGAGAGAGGCAGTTGTAATTAGAGGGATTCTAAGATGACTGGCAAAATTCTATTTCTTGACCTACATGGTGGTTTAAAGGTAATTATTTGCCCTTTAGTTTTATATTTGTTTTGGTTTGGTTTTTCAATAGTTACAGTTTTACAATAAAAATTTTTATGAGAAAGTTCTGTCAATGGTTAATTTCATATTTTAAAACATCTATATTCAGGCAATGCAATTCCATCATAAAATTAGTAGTTTCAGTTTTTGTAAACTTGTAACTCACAGCCTGTATTAAATACATATAACACATTTCTTTCAGTGACTCCTAAGAAGCTTCTGATGCATAACTAACCTCCATATGTAAGTCACCTCAAAACAGTAACAGTGCTCTCAAGCTGCCTCAGGGAACATGGCGCCACCTCTCTGCTGAGTTATGTATAGCCACTTTGGCCGCCCACTGCATCCTGATGGTGATGGGGGAGACAGGCTTTGATTGCCAGTCACACCCCTCTATCCTCACCCCATATTGGCTGTGGCTGTAGATGAGATTCAGCTGTGGGTGGCCTCAGCTCACCAACCACTGCCTTGGTTTTGAGGGTCAAACCCAGGCTCAAACAGGTGGGGGAGGAGGATAAACAGCCATATTCACAAATGCATTCTTGAATCACTGAATCTATGTGAAATAATTAAACAAAAGAGAATGTCCTTAAAAAGAACTCATATTTGCAGGCCTAATCTTCACCCAAGAGATCTTAAAATGCTATCACCTTATGCATAAGAGCTAAAGAGAAATACTGCAAGGCATCATGATATCCTGAGAAAACTTAAAGCTAAGACAGAAGAAACAGAGATTAGCCAGAAAAAAACAAAGTCTAGAAAAATCAACATTGATATATTTCAAAAGATTTAACAGCTGCAGAAAATGAGTTTCAAAAACAAAAAATACTATTTTTAAAAATACCAGTCTTATTATTTTTATTAGAAAGGTTAGGAGGATAGAAGAGAAGCAAGTAGACAAGCTGACTCTAAATTTCTCTAGGAAAAGTAAGCAAACAGGAATAGCCAGGAAGCTGTGAAAAAGAAGTGCAACAATGGGAAGCTAGCTCCATCAGAGATTAAAACATAATATGAAATAAAATAACTTTTTTAAAAAGCGGTAGCAGTAGATGAATGTCTGCTAGATGAAGAAGAGAACAGAAAGTCCACACATAGTGCCAAAGACAACAGGAAATTATCACACCATAATAATAGCAATTTTTAGAGCACTTACTTGTGCCAGGCACTAAGAATCTTATGTATATTAAATGTCTGACTACTCCATGAGATAGGTACAATTATTGTATTTTTATTTGAGGAAACTGAGGCATAGACATATGAAGTAACTTGCCCAAGATCTCAGAGGCAAGAAGTGGTGCTGCTAGAATTTCAACCTAGGTAATCTAGCTACAAAGTCCACACTCTTAACCTGTACGCACTATGGTTTTTCTGTTTTTCATTCAGGTGACATCTCAAATCATGGAGGAATAATAAACAATTCAATAAACAGCATTAAATTGGAATTCAATTTTTTTCTACATATGTTCAAATGGACATTTGTAGAAAAAATAAATTGGCCCATATTTCAAATCAGGAAAAATTTCAGGCCAGACACAGTGGCTCACACCTGTAATCCCAACACTTTGGGAGGCTGAGATAGGAGGATTGCTTCAGTCCAGGTGTGCAAAACTGGTCTGGGTAACATGGGGAAACCCCATTTCTACAAAAAAATGCAAAATTAGCTGGGCATGGTGGTGCTCACCTATGATCTCAGCTACTCAGGCAGCTGAGGTGGAAGGATCACTTGAGCCCGGGAAGTCCCAGCTACAGTAAGCTGTGATCACACCACTGCAATCCAGCCTGGGTGACAGAGTGAGATGGATAAATACCAGAGTGATAAATACCATCAAAATAATACAGGAAAGCATAGAACTTTAAGGAAGTTCTGAGTAAGAAAAGCCTTTCTATGTATGATTCAAAACCCACTAACTATAAAAGAATAGCACAATAAATTCAAGCTACATAAAAATAAAAAGCTTTTGGCTGGGCACAGTGGCTCGTGCCTGTAATCCCAGCACTTTGGGAGGCTGAGGTGGACAGATCACTTGAGGTCAGGAGTTCGACACCAGCCTGACCAACATGGTAGAACCCTGTCTCTACTAAAAATATAAAAATTAGCCGGGCGTGGTGGCATGTGCCTATAATCCCAGCTACTTGGGAGGCTGAGGCAGAAGAATTGCTTGAACCCAGGAAGCAGAGGTTGCAGTGAGCCGATATCACACCACTGCACTCCAGCCTGGGTGACAGAGCCAGACTCTGTCTGAAAAAAATAATAAATAAAATTTAAAAGAAATAAAAATAAATAAAATAAAATAAAAAGCTTTTTATTAAAAAAAAAAACACCACTAGTCAAGTCAAATCAATCCCTTTAAAATAAGAAGCTTCTAGAAAATAACAAAAACATCAACTCAATATAAAAAGGGGCAAAGTAACATGTTATTTAACAATGAATTTAATCCCTCTCCCTCTCACTCTGCCTCTCCCCCTCCCCCTCCCCTTTGCACGGTCCTCGTCTCCCCTTTGCACGGTCTCCCTCTGATGCCGAGCCGAGGCTGGACTGTACTGCTGCCATCTTGGCTCACTGCAGCCTCCCTGCCTGATTCTCCTGCCTCAGCCTGCCGAGTGCCTGGGATTGCAGGCATGCGCCACCACACCTGACTGGTTTTCGTATTTTTTGGTGGAGACGGGGTTTCGCCCTGTTGGCCGGGCTGGTCTCCAGCTCCTGACTGCGAGTGGTCTGCCGGCCTCGGCCTCCTGAGGTGCCGGGATTGCAGACAGAGTCTCGTTCACTCAGTGCTCAATGGTGCCCAGGCTGGAGTGCAGTGGCGTGATCTCGAATCGCTACAACCTCCACCTCCCAGCCGCCTGCCTTGGCCTCCCAAAGTGCCGAGATTGCAGCCTCTGCCCGGCTGCCACCCCATATAGGAAGTGAGGAGCGTCTCTGCCTGGCCGCCCATCGTCTGGGATGCGAGGAGCCCCTCTGCCTGGCCGCCCAGTCCGGGAAGTGAGGAGTGCCTCTTCCCGGCCGCCACCCCGTCTAGGAAGTGAGGAGCATCTCTGCCTGGCCGCCCATCGTCTGGGATGTGAGGAGCCCCTCCGCCCGGCCCCCCAGTCTGGGAAGTGAGGAGCGCCTCTTCCCGGCAGTCATCCCGTCTAGGAAGTGAGGAGCGTCTCTGCCTGGCCGCCCATCATCTGGGATGTGGGGAGCGCCTGTGCCCCGCCGCCCCGTCTGGGATGTGAAGAGTGCCTCTGCCCTGCCGCGACCCCGTCTGGGAACTGAGGAGTGTCTCTGCCCTGCCGCCACCCCTTCTGGGAGGTGAGGAGCGTCTCTGACCGGCCGCCCCATCTGAGAAGTGATGAGCCCCTCCGCCCGGCAGCCTCCCCGTCCGGGAAGTGAGGAGCGTCTCCGCCCGGCAGCCGCCCCGTCCAGGAGGTGGGGGGCAGCCCCCGCCCGGCCAGCTGCCCCGTCTGGGAGGTGGGGGGCCCCTCTGCCCAGCCACCCCATCTGGGAAGTGAGAAGCCCCTCTGCCCGGCCGCCACCCTGTCTGGGAGATGGGGGGGCCCCTCTGCCCAGCAGCCCCGTCTGGGAAGTGAGGAGCCCCTCTGCCCGGCCGCCACCCCGTCTGGGAGGTGTACCCAACAGCTCATTGAGAACGGGCCATGATGACGATGGCGGTTTTGTCGAATAGAAAAGGGGGAAATGTGGGGAAAAGAAGGAGAGGTCGGATTGTTATTGTGTCTGTGTGGAAAGAAGTAGACATAGGAGACTCCATTTCATTCTGTACTAGGAAAAATTCTTCTGCCTTGGGATGCTGTTAATCTATAACCTTACCCCCAACCCCGTGCTCTCTGAAACATGTGCTGTGTCCACTAAGGGTTAAATGGATTAAGGGCGGTGCAAGATGTGCTTTGTTAAACAGATGCTTGAAGGCAGCATACTCGTTAAGAGTCATCACCACTCCCTAATCTCAAGTACCCAGGGACACAAACACTGCAGAAGGCGGCAGGGCCCTCTGCCTAGGAAAACCAGAGACCTTTGTTCACATGTTTATCTGCTGACCTTCCCTCCACTATTGTCCTATGACCCTGCCAAATCCCCCTCTCTGAGAAACACCCAAGAATGATCAATAAATACTAAAATAAAAAAATTAAAAAAAATGAATTTAAAAATGAGCAAAGGATACAAATGGATAATTCAAAGAAAATATGGTCAACCTTAGTCATAAGGGAAATGTAAATTTAAATTCTGATTAATCATCACTTTTTCACCTATTAGACTGGCAAAAACCACAGCTGCTAATACTGTTGGAGATGCTACAGAGGCACTTTCATAGAGTTCTGGAGGGAGAATAAATTAATATAATCCCTGGGAAGGCAGTTTGGCAATATAAACCAAAATTATAAAGGAATAAAACCTTTGACCCAGCAATTATATCTCTAAGAATCTATCCTATAGATACAATTACATTAAGTATGAAATAGTATATGTAAAGATTATTTATTGAAGTATTATTAGTAATAACAAAATACTGGAAACAACCCAGTAAACAGGGGTCAAGACAACCATGGTTCATCTATGCAATAGAATACTTATATAGCTCTTTTAAAAATACAGAAGCTCTGTATAAAATGCTTTAGAAAGACAAATAAGAAAAATTATCAGCAAAGAAAAAGCAAGATGTAGAACAAGGGGTACAGCATGCCACCTTCTGTACAATGAACAAGTGAAACATACAAGTATTTACATTAGTTTATAAAAGCCTAAGAAAATTTAGAAGGATACATGAGCTGCTAATAATACTTTTCAGGTTTTCTCTCTATCGTCTATATATCAATCATTCATCCATCTACCTATCTATTTATTTGAGACAGGGTCTCACTCTGTTGTCCAGGTGGCAGACTGCAGTGGCGTGAACACAGCTCACTGTAGCCACAACCTCCTGGGCTCAAGGGATCCTCCCGCCTCAGCCTCCTAAGTAGCTGGGACTATAGGCACATACGACCATGCCCGGCTAATTTTTTTTTTTTTTTTTAATACAGATGGGGTTTCACCAAGTTGTCCAGGTTGGTCTCAAACTCCTGGGCTTAAACAGTCCTTCCACCTCGGCCTTGCAAAGTGTTGATGTTACAGGTGTGAGCCACTGGGCCTGACCTAGGTTTTCTTAAGCAGTGACTAAATTAACTGAAGGAGAGAGATGAGCAAGGGATAATGTATGCTGGAAACAAGGAGAAAAGAGGTCATAGAGAGAGATTTCATTAAATACATTCCTATTTTTGACCTGTGTTAAAATGTTTCAAAGTCATATATTTGACAGACCAGAAACAATACCATCCCACAGGTACTGGATGAGATACCCCAAATAATATGTTAATATCAATAAAGATAGTGTTTTGTACATGATCCATCTTCATTTTCGTTTTTGACTATGGTATTATGTGAAATTTTGCCCCTGGAGAAAGGGAAGTACATATTGGAGACTGCAGTGGAAGATGGTAGAAAAGAAGTGAATCAGCAACTTATGAGGCAAATGCATTAAAAGCAAAATACCCAAGTGGTATATTTGTAGCTCATTCTCTTAAGTGCTACATCTTACTGCTTGTTTTGTATTGCTAGTTCATTCTTTTTTTTTTTTTTGAGACGGAGTCTCGTTCTGTCACCCAGGCTGGAGTGCAGTGGCATGATCTTGACATACTGCAAGCTCTGCCTCCCAGGTTCAAAGCCATTCTCCTGCCTCAGCCTCCCAGGTAGCTGGGACTACAGGTGCCCGCCACCACACCCAGCTAATTTTTTTTTTTTTTTTTTTTTTGGTAATTTTTGGTAGAGACGGGGTTTCACCATGTTAGCCAGGATGATCTTGATCTCCCAACCTCGTGATCCGCCCGCTTCGGCCTCCCAGAGTGCTGGGATTACAGGCGTGAGCCACCGCGCCCGGCCGCTAGTTCATTCTTAATTATTCAAATTAACTAAAAGGCAAATCAGGATGCTTTCTAGATAATTTTTTGTATTATAAAACCAAGAAGGTAAACAGTGCTAGTTTAAGCATTTGGCTGAGTTAACAGATTTTTCCCAAACAAGAGCACACTGCAGCCTGTATTTCTCAAAACATCTATTACTATTGCATGTCATCCATCAGCATAAACAAATGGAAGTTCAAAAAATAGGGCTGAAACAAGACAGCTTTGGTAAGAATTAATATTTAAATGTCTTCCTCAGTGTCGTGTCATCAGGAATCCCAGGCTGAGGCCCAGAGACAACCTCATGGCCTTGAAATCTAAACAACATAGAAACATAAGCCTTCACTATCTCTTATTAGTTATTTGAGATCTACTATTTACTCCATAAACTTAAAATATCAAGTAAACACTGGTTTTTAATAAAAGTCTAATTTAATTTGTTTTAAATAGTAGTTAAAAAACCATTAACACATTAAGGACATAAAAAAAATTCCTCCTTGAAAAATAACTCCAATTTAATTCAGAACTCTAATGATAGCACATTATTACCACCACCTCAAGCTTCTCAAGACCATTTTAACTATGTAATAACCCCTGAACAAAAATCATCATGGCTTCTCATCACCTACAGAATAAAATTTTAATCACTTGGGCAACAACGCAAAATGTCAAAAAGTCTCACTTCCCATGTTGTCCCTATACAATCCAGTCCAGACTATTTATTATATCCAGAAGGAGTTTTAATATTCTACTCCCTTGCCTTTGCTCTCCCTCCCTAAAATTCAAAGTTTAGCTCTAGCCCCACTTCTACAAAACGACATTTCCAGATAAAACTTGTCCATTGCAAAATATGCTCAGTTCATAGATACTGCTTTGAATTTTTAGTCTCCCATCCAAGTACAGACATACATCATTTTATGGCACTTCATGTTATTGTTCTTTGCAGATACAGCATTTTTTACAAATTGAAGGTTTGTGGCAGCCCTGCATCCAGCAGGTCCATTGGCACCATTTTTCCAACAGCATGTGCTTGCTTTGTGTTTCTGTGTCACATTTTGGTAAATCTCACAATATCTCCAACTTTTTCATTATTATTATATTTGTTATGATGATCTGGAATCAGTGATCTTTGATGTTACTACTGTAACTGTTCTGGGGTATCATAAACCATGTCCATATAAGATAGTGAACTTAATAAATGTGGTATGTGTTCTATAGCTCTACCAAGAGACTATTCCCCCATCTCTCTTCCTCTTTTTGGGCCACCCTATTATCTGAGACATAACATTGAAATTAGGCCAATTAATAAACCTACAATGGCCTCTAAGTGTTCAAGTGAAAGGAAGATTTGCACATCTTTTTTTTTTTTTTTTTTTTGAGACAGAGTCTCACTCTGTCGCCCAGGCTGGAGAGCAGTGGCGCGATTTCGGTTTACTGCAACCTCCACCTCCCAGGTTCAAGCGATTCTCCTGCCTCAGCCGCCCGAGTAGCTGGGATTCCAGGCATCTGCCACCATGTCTGGCTAATTTTTGTATTTTAGTAGGGATGGGGTTTCACCATGTTGGCCAGGCTAGTCTCGAACTCCTGACCTCAAGTGATCACCCACCTCGGCCTTCCAAAGTGCTGGGATCACAGGCATGAGCCACTGTGCCCGGCCGCACATCTCTCATTTTAAGTAAAAAACTAGAAATGATTAAGCACAGAAAGGCCTACGTCAAAGGTTGAAATAGGCCAAAAGCTAGGCCTCTTGTGCCAAAATCCAAGTGTGAATGCAAAGGGAAAGTTCTTGAAGGAAATTAAACGTAAGCAAAACAGCTTCATGGCTGATATGGAGAAAGTTTTAGTGGTCTGGATAGATCAAATCAGTCACAACGTTCCCTTAGGCCAAAGCCTAATCCAGTGCAAGGCCCTAACTCTCTTCAATTTTATGAAGTCTGGGAGAGGTGAGTAAGCTGTAGAAGAAAAAGTGGAAGCCAGCAGAGGCTTAAGGAAAGAAACAGTCTCCATAACACAAAATGCAAGATAAAGCTTCAGGTACTAATGGAGAAGGTACAGCAAATTATCCAGAAGATCTACCTGAGATAACTGATAAAGGTGGCTACACAATAGATTTTTAATGTAGACAAAACAGCCTTCTATTGCAAGAAGATGCCATCTAGGACTTTCCTAGATACAGATATGAAATCAATGCCTGGTTTCAAAGCTTCATAGAACAGGCAGACTCTACTGTTAGGGGCTAATGCAGCTGGTGACTAAGTTGAAGGCAATGCTCACAAACCATTCTGAAAATCGTAAGATCCTTCAGAATTATGTTAAATGTACTCTGCCTATGCTCTATAAATGGAACAACAAAGCCTGGATGACTGCATATCTGTTCACAGCACAGTGTACTGAATATTTTAAGCCAACTGTTGAGACTCACTGCTCGGAAAAAAAGATTTCCTTTCAAAATATTATTGACCATTTACAATGCACCTGGTCACCTAAGAGCTCTGATGCAGATATACAAGGAGATTCACGTTGTTTTCGTGCCTGTTAACATAACATCCATTTTGCAGCCCATAGTTCAAAATGTAATTTCAACTTTCAAATCTTATTATCTAGGAAATACATTTTGTAAGGCTATCACTGCCATAGATAGTGATTCCTCTGATAGAGCTGAGCAAAGTAAACAGAAAACCTTCTGAAAATGATTCACCATTGTAGATGCCATGAGGAACATTTTTGATTCATGGGAGGAGGAGTTTGGAAGAAATGGATTCCAGACCCCATGGATGACTTTGAGAGGTTCAAGACTTCCATGGAGGAAGTCACAGCACATGTGGTGGAAATAGCAAGAGAACTAGATTGAGAAGTGGAGCACCCAGGCTGGAGTGCAGTGGTGCAATCACAACTCACTATAGCCTTGACCTCCCAGACTCAGGTAATCCTCCCACCTCAGCCACCCAGGTAGCTAGGACTACAGATGAACGCCACAACACCCAGCTAATTTCTTTTTATTTTTGGTAGAGACAAGGTCTCACCATGTTGCCCAGGCTAGTCTCGAACTCCTGGGCTCAAGTTATCCACCCACCTCAGCCTCCCAAAGTGCTGAGATTACAGGCGTGAGCCACCACACCTGGCCAAAGCGGTTTCTTGAGATGGAAATCTACAACTGGTGAAGATGCCATGAGTATTGTTGAGATAACAAAGGATTTAGAATCTTACATAAATTTAGTTGATAACGCAGTAGCAGAATTTGAGAGGACTGACTCCAATTCTGAAAGAAGTTCTACTGTTCATAGAACACTACTGAACAGCATTGCATGCTACAGAGAAATTTTTCAAGACAAGAAAACAAAGATCAGTCAATGGGGCAAAACTTCATTGTGGTCTGATTTTAACAACTTTTCACAGCCACTGAGCAACCACCACCCTGATCGAGGCAAAACCCTCCACCACCAAAAAGATTAGGACACTCTGAATGCTCAGATGATCGTTAGCATTTTTAAGCAATAAAGCATTTTTTTAATGAAGGTGTGTGCATTGTTTTTTTAGACATAATGGTATTACACACTTAACAGACTAAAGTAGGCTGGGTGTGATGGCTCACATCTGTAATCCCAGCACTTAGGGAGGCTGAGGCAGACAGATCACTTGAGCCCAGGAGTTTAAGACCAGCCTGGGCAACTTAGGGAGACCCCATCTCTACAAAAAAGTAAAAACTTAGCTGGGCATGGTGGCCTACACCTGTAGTCCCAGCTACTTGGGAGGTTGAGGTGGGAGGATCGCTTAAGCCCAAGAGGTTGAGGCTGCAGTAAGCCTTGATCACACTACTGCACTTCAGCCTGGGCAGCAAAGCAAGACCCTGTCTCAAAAAAATAATAATAATATATACTTGTGTGTGTGTGTGTGTGTGTGTGTGTGTGTGTACACACACACACACACACACACACACACACAAAAGTATACTGTAAATGTAACTCATATGCATTGGAAAACCAAAAAATGTGTGACTCATATTCACTACTTTATTGCAGTGCTCTCAAACAAAATCTGCAATATCTCCAAGGTATGCCTGTACTAATCAGGCCTAACTCCGCTTAGCTTCAAAGATCAGACAACACTGGGTGTGCTCAGGGTGGTATAACTGTGTCTAGAGTATTAGTTATCTTTATATGAGTCTTGTTTCCATCAGACTGTAAGCTTCTGAGAAGGAAAACTGCATTTGGTGAGCACCTACTATGTGCTGGGCATTATTTTCAAATATTCCAAGAGCCCTATGAAACTGGTACTGTTATTCTCATTTTAAAGATACAGAAACTAGGTCAGAAAGATTACACAGCTTGACCAAGATCATAAGCCCAAGAACTGACAGACCTGAGTCAAACCAAAAGTCTACCTGATTCCATGCAAGATACTGCCTCTCAAAAAGAAAAGAAAAATTCAAAACAAAACTATTAGAAAGCTATACAGTATATAGAATATGTCGAAGTGTGCTCACTCATTTCATTTTTGTTGCAACCCTTAGAGGCAATGTATTAGTTATGGTTGCTACTACTTTTCTCTGGCAAGCATAATTTCACATTTCCCTTTCTCTGGTTCCTTTGAGGAACTTTTTCCTTACTTCAAAGTAGTCCTGGCAGGGACATGAATCATGGTGCCCAATTTCATACAGAGTGGCACACAACAAAGATAAGGCAATCAGACACATACTGTCACATATAATGATTGTTTTAGCTATAAGGTCATCATGTAAGCCAGCCCAGTCAAAATCCTTCAGGGGTCTAGGCATTTTCATTATGTTATTTTGAATAATTCTGCTTCTAACCTTCATCCCAGCCACCTTCTCTTTCCTCAACTCAACACAACAGAAATTTGATAAAAGTTCAATAATTGCAAAAGGAATATTTGGCATAAGGGTGAAAATACACAGATATACTTGGTTCCTCATGTCTTAATAAAATCTATAGTGAAATAAAGTCAAAGAACAATGCTTTCAGTACAGAGTACTTAGATAACAAAATATCATTCTCTTTCTAATCATAAGATATATTTAATACTAAATTTTATGTAACAAATAGCTATAAACAAATGAAACATTAAGAGCTCTGATTTTTATTTACTATTTCACAAGGGTTCCAAGCTTGGCCCAAAGAGGAAGGGAAAAAGAATTCACATGCTATAAAAAACAGGTATGCAATCTGAAGCTTGTGTTAAAGAAAGAAGGTAAAAATGGAGATGCCTTTAATGTATCATCATTTGAAAACTTACAGCAAATTAATGTAGTATATTAGCCAACACACAGATTAGGGAGAAAAAATGCATAAATGTATGCCAGTATAATGTACCTCCATTCCATAACTACTGAGAAAATAATTAGAAATTTACAGCACAATATATTTATAGATTCTCTTATAAGTACCTTACCAAAAAAATCAATGCTACAAAAATGAAACTAATGAGCACCATCTCATGGGCATTTGAAGTAATATATGTAAAACCAGCCTTTGCAAGAGCTTTAAAAAGCCAAGTTACTTAGTAAAGGATTAATCATAAAACTTTCTTTTAAAATTTCAAATTTTGTACATATATCCTAAAAAGTTAACAAGGGTTTTAAACAAACAGATATACTATTTAAGCCAGTATTTAAATAGCTTCAACAAATATAAGGGGAGGAGATGTAAAATGATTCTCACAAAACAAACTCTGTAGAAGAGTTAAATAGAAGCAAAATCCAAAACTGTTAAAAAATAAAATAAAATAAAATAGTACTTAACAAGAAAAAACAGGATTTTAGATAGATTTGGCAAATCTGAAAGTAACATAAATCAACTCTTTCTCATAGTGACTAACAGATTTTCCATTTTAAAAACCCTGACTTGATCATTATACATTCTACGCATGTAACAAAATACCATATGTACCCCATAAATATGTAAAATATTACATATCAATTTTTAAAAGTCAGAAGAAATGCTTAAAAAACGTATTTCACATTTCCTCTAATGGTGTACATTTAAAAGGAAATGCATTTCCCATTCAAAGAAAAACATGTACTACTTTAAGACTAAAGCAATCTTTGTCAGCTTCCTGGCTCTTCATTTAAGTTTATTTTCTAAAGGCAATCAAGTGGAATATATTAACTAGACTATCTGATACTAAACAAAGCAGTTATTTCCTGCCTGAAATTTCATCCAGTAGCAACATACACTCACTGAAGCACTTCAGTGTCACATTCTCTCTTGGTTCAGATTACATGAACTCACTTTCTGTAAATTAATAGTCAGATCAAGTATCTTCTTACAGTGTTAGAAGAAATGGCAAACTTTGAGAACAAAAATTGTCCTTTAAAAAAAAACTATCAATAATTAGTCTTGGCCGGGACTGGTGATGGGCACCTATAATCCTAGCACTTTGGGAAGCCAAGGAAGGAGGATCACTTGAGGCCAGGAGTTCAAGACCAGCCTGGGCAACAGAATGAGACCCTGTCTCTATTTTTAAAATTAAATATTTTGTCTGTCTGTTTGTTTGTTTGTTTGTTTGTTTGTTTGTTTTTGGAGACAAAGTTTTGCTCTTGTTGCCCAGGCTGGAGTGCAATGGCATGATCTCAGCTCACTGCAACCTCCGCCTCCTGGGTTCAAGCAATTCTCCTGCCTCCGCCTCCCGAGTAGCTGGGATTACAGGCATGCGCCACCACGCCCAGCTAATTTTGTATTTTTAGTAGAGACGGGGTTTCTCCATATTGGTCAGGCTGGTCTCAAACTCCCGACCTCAGGTGATCTGCCCGCCTCAGCCTCCCAAAGTGCTGGTATTACAGGCGTGAGCTACCATGCTTGGCCTAAAATTAAAATTTTTTAAATGATATTAATCAGTCTAGTTATCAAGTCCAATCTTGTTCTACATTAATATTTCAAAAGAGGCATAATGTATAGAATCAAATGTGTACAATATAGAGTAAAATCTTCTAATAATTCTGTTCTAATAACTGTGTGATTACATATAAGATAAAAGGATGTCTAAATAAAAACTTGTGTGGATTTTTGCCAGTTAGGCTATTGATTCTGTTTAAAGAAACCAACTCATGACCAGACATGGTGGCTTGTGCCTGTAACCCCAGCACTTCACGAGGCTGAAGCGAGAAGATCACTTCAGCCCAGGAATTCAAGACCAGCCTGGGCAAAATAGCGAGACCCTGTCTCCACAAAAAGTAAAAAGCAAAAGAAACTTGAGCATCAGCAGTGCAGTAAAGTTTAAAAGAGCACAACACAAGAATGCATCACTGCAAATGAATCTATCAACACACATTAATCAAGCAGCTATTACATAAAAGATCAAATATAAGACGCACTCGCTGATTCACAAAAATATTCATGTTCAGCAGGCAAAATAACAATGAGTACGGTATGCAAAGTACTGCCACTGGCTATAAAAGGGTAATGGACACCAGATTTAATCTCTCACCATAAAGTGGAAAACTAAACAAAATACATAAAACAATTCTTTGGACTGTGATCACTGAAAGCACAAAAACAAACAAGGTCTCAACTCAGTGACACCTTGAGACAATGAAACCATTGAGTTGAGACAACCATCATTCTAATGAGTTGAAGAGACACAGATCAGAGTTCAGAGAGAATGAGATGGCTGGAATTCAAGGAGAAGAGTACCAGAGAAGAAGGTTACCTGAGAAATTGCTCTAGAAATCTTAGTAGTGGTCCCTTTGAGTATTTGGATGAATACTAAACTGCATGGGCATTGGGTGAGAATCAGAACACCATCAAGAGAAGAACAACTACCGAGATTGTTGTAAGCTGAAAAATTCTACAGGTCACACAGGGCTGAGAGAAGTCTGAATTCTATTCAAAGTGGAAAGATCTCAAACATCCAAGGCTTTGGACTAAGCTTTAGTTGTACAACTAAACAAGGACTAGAATAAAGGCTACACTATATCTACCATTGCAATATTTAAAAACAAGCTTTGAGTCTGCCTTGAAAGAACTGTATAGCAGATAAATAGAAGCGCTGGCTACAGTGCTGACAGAAACCTTGTCTTTCAAGCCAGACAAACTGGAAAAAGGCAGGAGAGGGTAGGAAAGTCATGGAGAGAAGAAAAGTTCTCTATGAACCAATACAAGACTCATCCCTGTGCAAAGCATATGACAGACCCAAACCAGAAAAGTAAAAGCTTTGAGAATCGAACTCAAATCTCAGACTAGCCCCTGAGTGGCATATACACAGGACAAACCCAAAAAAAAAGCAAGGCAAAGCTTTTGAAAACTGAACTGATATTGAAACCACTACATATAGAAAGCAGGCCAAAACTTGTGGTCTGACCCTAATAAAGGTTGATTGCCTGCTAAACAAACAAAATAAATCAGCCTTCTCCAAGAAATATAACACAGCTCAGAGTCTACCAACATAACTTTCACAAAATCAGGAATACAATCCAGAAATTACTTGGCATACAAAAAATCAAAAAACTATGAATTTCAAGAGAAACAACAATAAACAGATAAAAACAAATCTCTACTAATCAGATGTTGGAATTACCATGGAAAGAGTTTAAAGCAGCTATTAATATTATAACTATGCTTCAGGAGGTAAAGATAAAGGTAAAGTAGCCAGGCACAGTGGCTCACGCCTGTAATCCCAACATTTTGAGAAGCCAAGGCGGGTGGGATCACTTGAGGCCAAGAGTTAGAGACCAGCCTGGCCAACGTGGTGAAACCCCATCTTAAAAATACAAAAATTAGCTGGGTGTGGTGGTGCATGCCTGTAATTCCAGCTACTCAGGAGGCTGAGGCAGGAGAATCCCTTGAACCCGGGAGACGGAGGTTGCAGTGAGCCCAGATCGCACCACTGCACTTCAGCCTAAGTGACAGAGTGAGACTGTGAGACTCTATCTCAAAAAAAAAAAAAAGAAAGAAAGAAAACAAAAAAGAAAAGGTAAAGAAAAATGAAATGAATGGAAAGACAGAATAGAAGTATTCAATGGAGAAAACTGAGAAGTAAAAAATCTATTAAGAAATTATTTAAGAAGTAAAAACCTATTAAGCCTAGATGGGCACATTAGCAGAATGGAGATGACAGAAAAAATAATCAATGAATATAAAAATAAATCAATATAAATTATTTAACCTGAAAAACAAAGAAAGAGGTAAGATTGAAAAAAATGAATAATCTAATGGAAATATGGGACAGTATCCAAAAGTCTAACATACATGTCACTGGAGTTCCAAAAAGGAGAGTAGAGGCCGGGCGCAGTGGCTCACGCCTGTAATCCCAACACTTTGGGAGGCCAAGGTGGGCAGATCACTTGATGTAAGGAGTTTGAGACCAGCCTGGCCAACATAGTGAAACCCCATCTCTATTAAAAATTAAAAAAATAAAATAAAAACTTAGCTGGGCGTGGCAGCACACACCTGTAATCCCAGCTACTCAGAAGGCTGAGGCAGGAGAATCGTCTGAACCTGGGAGGCAGAGGTTGCAGTGAGCCAAGATTGTGCCACTGCACTCCAGCTTGGGTGACAGAGTGAAACTCCGTCTTGAAAAAAAAAAAAAAAAAAAGAACAAAAAGGAGAGTAGAAAGAGACTGAGGCAGAAAAATATTTGACTGACTAGACAAATTTGTTGAAATATATAAATTACTTCTAATATAGCCTCACCATAAACTCACACGTCATACAAGCTAACAGAAGAGCTGTCCCCCAAACAAATACATTTCACTAATGATGCAGAGCTCAAATAGCACAAAAGAAGTAATTCATCCTCTGGATAAATGATTTCCAAACAGTTGATTACATACTCCTACTGGCAAAAAATTAAGTAGTCAGATCACAGATATATTAACGTATAAATTATATATGGGTTACTGAATACTAATCTGTTATTTAATCTAATATGTTATATATGTTACTAATCTTTATTAAGTTATTTTTTAAAAGAAATTAGAGGACAGAGAAAGATGGCCAAATACAAGCCTTCACCGATCATCGCCGCGACAGAAACAACAAATTTAACAACCATGTCCACAAAAAAGCACCTTCATAAAAACCAAAAATAAGGTGAGCAATCACTTCGTATCACAGAAAGGGGCACTGAAGAAGGTAAGCAAGACAGTCTTGAATTGCTATTCCCCCCAAAAGCAGCTGTGTGTCATGGAGCACCTACGCGCCTGGGAGTGGGAGAGTGCAGCGACTGTGGGATCCTGCATTGAACAGTGCTGCCCTGTCACAGCGGAAAGCAGAACAAGACTAAAATTAGCCAACGTCCACCTACAGAGAGAGTATTAAGACCAGCCCTAGCCAGAAGAGAACTGCACATCCCAGTGGCTGGAAACAGTATTGACAAGCCTCACCACCGTGGCTTAAAGTGCTTGGGGCCTCTAAATAAACTTGAAGGGCAGTCTAGGCCACAAGGACTGAAATTCCTAGGCAAGTCCTAGCACTGTGCTCTGAGTCCACTGGCTCTGAACATGAGGGGCATGTGACCTGGTAAGACCCCAGCTGGGGCAGCTAAGGAAGTACTTGCGCCACTCCTCTCCAACCCCTGGCAGCGCAGCTTGCAACAACAAAAGTGACTCCTTCCATCAGCTTGAGGAGAGGAGAGTGAAAAGTTAAAAGGACTTTGTCTTGCATCTTGGATACTAGCTCAGCCACAATCGAATAGGAAACCAGGCAGTCATGAGGACCCCATTCCAGGTCCCAGCTCAGTCATGAGGACCCCATTCCAGGTCGTAGCTCGGGCAACATATATACACACACGCTGGGCCAGAAGGGAACCCGCTGCCTTGAAGGGAATGACCCAATCCTGGCAGGATTGATTACTTGCTGACTAAAGAGCCCTTGGACCCTGCAGAACCAGAAGCAACATCCAAGTAGTAAGCCATGGGCCTTGGGTGAGACTCTGAAACGTGCCGGCTTCAGGAATCACCTCGGACACAGTGGTGTAAAGCACCAAAAGGGCTCCTGAGATCCCCGATTCTAGGCTTTGGCTCTTGGACAGCATTTCTGGACATGCCCTGGGCCAGAAGAGAGCCTGCTGCCCAAAAGGGTGAGTCCCAGGCCTGGAAGCATTCACCACAAGCTAACTGAAGAGTCCTTGGGCCTTAAGCGAACATTGGCAGTAACCTGGCAGTATTCCCCATGGGTCTGTGGTGGTGGTGGCTAGTGGGAGATGCTCCTCTACCTATGTAAACAGGAGGGAAGAGTGGGAAAGACTTTGAGCAACATCTTAGCCACAGAATAGAGCACCAGTCAGATTTCTAAGAGTTTTTATTCCACTCCTTGGCTCCTGGATGGCCTCTCTAGACCTGCCAAGGGCCTCAGGAAACACGCTACCCTGAAGGGAAGGACATAAGCCTTACTGGCTTCGCCAACTGCTGATGGTAGAGCCCTAGGGCCTTGAGTGAATATAGAGAGTAGCCAGGTAGTGGTTATAGCAGGCCTTGGGTGAGACCCAGTGCTGTGCTGGCTTCAGATCTGACCCAGCACAGTCCCAATGGTGGTGGCCACATAGGTGCTTGTGTCTCCCTACACCCAGCTCCAGGTGGTTCAGCACAGAGAGAGAGAGAGCAACATACCATTTGTTTGGGACAAAGTAATGGAAGAAAACAAGAGTCTCCACCTGGTAACCAACAGAATTCTTCCAGATCTTATCCAAGACCACCAAGGCAGTACCTCTATGAGTCTACAAGAACCAAAGCATTATGGGCTTGGGATGCCCCCTAATCCAGATACAGCTTAGATCACAATAGCCAGTCCCTTCAAATACCTGGAAAGCCTTCCCAAGACAGATGGGCACAAATAAGCCCAGACTGTGAAGACTATAATAACAGTCCAGACACTGACAAACATCCACAAGCATCAACACTTCCTAGGAAAACATGACCTCACCAAAAAACTACATAAAGAACCAGAGACCAATCCTGGAGAAACAGAGATATGTGGCCTTTTAGGCACAGAATTCAAAATAGCTATTTTGAGGAAACTCAAAGAAATTGAAGATAACACAAAGAAGGAATTCAGAATTCTATCGGATAAATTTAACAAAAAAGATGAAATATTAAAAAAGAATCAAGCAGAAATTTGAGAATTGAAAAATGAAACTGATATATTAAAGAATGCATCAGAGTCTCTTAACAGAATTGATCAAACAGAAGAAAGAATTAGTAAGCTTGAAGACAGCCTATTTGAAAATACACACTTAGAGGAGACAAAAACAAAGAAAAGAATACAAAAGAATGAAGCATGCCTACAAGATCTAGAAAACAGCCTCAAAAGGACAAATCTGAGAGTTATTGTCCTTAAAGAGGAAGTGGAGAAAGAAATAGGGGTAGAAAGTCTATTCAAAGGGATAATAACAGAGAACTTTGCAAACCTAGAGAAAGATATCAATACTCAAGTACAAGAAGGATACAGAACACCAAGCAGATTTAACCCAAAGACTACCTCAAGGCATTTAATAATCAAACTCCCAAAGATCAATAATAAGGAAAGGATCCTAAAAGGGGCAGGAGAAAAGAAACAAATAACGTACAATGGAGCTCCAATACATCCGGCAGCTGACTTTTCAGTGGAAACCTTAAAGCCACATGAGAGTGGCATGAATATATTTAAGGTGCAGACGGAAAAAAACTCTTACCCTAGAATATTATATCCAGTGAAAATATCCTTCAAACATGAAGAAGAAATTAAGACTTCCAAGACAAACAAAAGCTGAGGTGTTTCATCACCATACCTGTCCTACAAGAAATGCTAAAGGAAGTTAGTTCCTCAATCAAAAAGAAACAGATGTTAGTAAGCAACAAGAAAAGAAATCATCTGAAAGTACAAAATTAATTGGCAACAGTAAGCATACAGAAAAACACAATAACACCATAACTTGGGCATATAAATTACTCTTAAGTAGAATGACTAAAAGATGAACACAGACACTACAATAAAATATAAACAGAAACAACAAAAAGTTAAAAAGCAGGGAGATAAAGGTAAAGTGTAGAGCTTTTATTAGTTTTCTTTTTGCTTCTTTGTTTAAGCAATCAGTGTTAAACTGTCACCAGTTTAAAATAATAAGTTATAAGATAGTATTTGCAAGCTTCATGGTAACCTCAAATCAGAAAACATACAACCTACCAATATTGAACCAGGAAGAAATCCAAAGTCTAAACAGACCAATAACAAGTAATGAGATTGAAGCCATAATAAAGTGTCTCACAGTAAAGAAAAGTCCAGGACCTGATGGCTTTACTGCTGGATTCTAACAAACATTTGAAGAACTAATACCAATCCTACTCAAATTATTCCGAAAAATAGGGGAGGGAATACTTCCAAACTCATTCAACATGGCCAGTATTACCCTGATACCAAAAGAGACAAAGACATATCAAAAAAAGGAAAACTGTACACCACTATCTCTGATGAATATTCACATGAAAATCCTCAACAAAATACTATAATAGCAAGCTGAATTTAACAACACATGAAAAAGATCATTTATCATGACCAAGTGAGATTTATCCCAGGGATGCAAAGATGGTTCAACATATGCAAATCAATCAATATGATACATCATATTAACAGAATGGAGAACAAAAACAACAAGATCATTTCAACTGATGCTGAAAAAGCATTTGACAAAATTCAATGTCTCACCGTGACAAAAAAAACCCTCAAAAAACTAGGGAGAGAAGAGGCATACCTCAACATAATAAAAGCCATATATGACAACCACAGATAGTATCATACTGATGGGGGAAAAACTGAAAGTCTTTCCTCTAGATCTGGAACACAACAAAGATGCCCACTATCACCACTGTTATTAAACATAGTACTGGAAGCCATAGCTAGAGCAATCAGACAAGAGAAAGAAATAAAGAGTGGTGGCACTTGCCTGTGGTCCCAGCTGCCCAGGGGAGAGGGGGCTGAGGCAGGAGAATCGCTTGAACCTGGGAGGCGGAGGTTGCAGTGAGACGAGATCACGCCACTGCACTTGGGTGACAGAGTGAAATTCGGAGAGAAAAGGAAGGGGAAGGGGAAGGGGAATCCAAATTGGAAAGGAAGAAGTTAAATTTCCCTTGTTTGCATATGATATGATCTTATATTTGGAAAAACCTAGAGAGTCCACCAAAAAACTATTAGAAGTGATTAATTCAGTAAAGTTGTAGAATACAAAATCAACATTTGAATATCAGTAGCATTTCTATATGCCAACAGCAAACAATCTGAACATGAAATGAAAAAAAGTAATCCTATTTAAAATAGCTACAAATAAATACCTAGGAATTAACCAAAGAATTAAAAGATCTCTACAATGAAAACAATAAAATACTGGTGAAAAAAAGTGAAGAGGACACCAAAAAATGGAAAGATATTCCATGTTCACGGATTGCAAGAATCAATACTGTTAAAATGTCCATAGTACCCAAAGCAATCTACAGATTCAATGCAATCCCTATCAAAATACTAATGACATTCTTCAGAGAAATTAAAAAAAAAAAAAACATTAGCTCGGCGCAGTGGCTCACGCCTGTAATCCCAGCACTTTGGGAGGCCGCGGTGGGCAGATCACAAGGTCCGAAGTTCGAGACCAGCCTGGCCAACATAGTGAAACCTTGTCTCTACTAAAAATACAAAAAATTAGCCAGGTGTGCTGGCATGCACCTGTAGTCCCAGCTACTCTGGAGGCTGAGGTGGGAGAATCGCCTGAACCTGGGAAGTGGAGGTTGTGGTGAGCTGAGATCACACCATTGCACTCCAGCCTCGGCGACGGAGTGAGACTGTCTCAAAAAAAAAAAAAAAAAAAATTATAAAATTTATATGGAACCACAAAAGACCCAGAATAGCCAAAGCTATCCTGAGCAAAAGAACAAAACTGGAAGAATCACACTATCTGACTTCAATTTATACCACACAGCTATAGTAACCAAAACAGCATGGTACTAGCACAAAAACAGACACACAGACCAGAAGAACAGAACAGACAACTCAGAAACAAATCCATACAACTACAGTGAACTCAATTCCAACAAAGGTGCCAAGAACACACATTGGGGGCCGGACACGGTGGCTCACACCTGTAATCCCAGCACTTTGGGAGGCCGAGGCAGGTGGATCACGAGGTCAGGAGATCAAGACCATCCTGGCTAACACGGCGAAACCCTGTGTCTACTAAAAATACAAAAAATTAGCCGGGCGTGGTGGTGGCGGGTGCCTGTAGTCCCAGCTACTTGGGAGGCTGAGGCAGGAGAACGGTGTGAACCCGGGAGGCGGAGGTTGCAGGGAGCTGAGATCATGCCACTGCACTCCAGCCAGGGAGACAGAGCAAGACTCCATCTCAAAAAAAAAAAAAAAAAAGTAACCTGTTTCATAGTTTAATAAATAATGTTTTCTGTTTCTTAGTTGTACAAAAAATGATGCATCTTACAATAGCATCTTATGGAGTCAATGAAAAATAATAAATGTACAGGCCAAAACACATCAAGTTTTCTTCATCCAACTAACTAGAAAAATAGAAGACCCACCATACACACTAGATTAAGGCTACTTAGAGATGAGAGACAGTAGTATGATCGATCTGGTCTTCAAGTAATTGGGACTTCAGTTATTAATTGTTCCTTAAGTCTCATTCTATAATAAATGTGCTTAATTATAATTTTAAAAGTACTTACGTACATTGTGAGGAAATCAATATATAGCTATTAAAATATGTAATGTTTTAAATGGGCTTTAAAGCTTCAAAAACTAAAATGCCCCTTGAAAACTAGGTTTAGAGGGAACTAAAAACTACTAAATTATTTAATAGGTGATCATCCAAAATAAAATGTGTAACAAAAGGAAACAATGTAAGGTTACAGTAAATATGGGATTTAAATACAGTAAGAAGACAATTCAACTGTCAGTAAACTCCCTGTAATGCTAGGAAAATGAATGCTAGGATTATCAGAGATTTTTTAATTTTGTTTCATTTGTATTTGCCAAAAAAAAAAAAAACACCCATAGAATAAAAAATACCAGTTTCTCTTGTAATTTGCATTTTTTACCACCACATTTCCCCTTCTGGAAGGAATTAAAGGAAGATTACTAAGATGGGTCAAGTAACAACAGAGGACAACAAGTAAACAAAGAAGCCACAGAATGTAGGGCAATGCTTATCAGTTTAACCAAGTGAATCAGGAGACTATGAATGTAATGGAACAAATTTAGCCATAAATTCACTGAGCTGGGACAACCATCTGAAAACCTACACTGTGATCTATGGATTTACACAAAAGGTGCAGAACTGGAAAGTGGGAGAAGAAAACTGTATACCAAATTATTTCCTAGGAATTATCCAGTCTGATGATTTTTCCACTTTAAAACTTTCTGATCACCTGAGCCCAGGAGGTCAAGGTTGCAGTAAGCAGTGACTGTGCCACTGTACTCCAGCCTGGGCAACAGAGCAAGACCCTGTCTCAAAGAAAAAAACAAAAAGAAAAAGAAAAAACAACATTATAAAACTCAAATATTTCTACCACAAAATTAAATAAGAGATTAGAAAAGTGAAGTTTTTAGCCAGGTGCAGTGGCTCATACCTGTAGTCCCAGCATTTGGGAGGCTGAGGCAAGCGGAACACTTGAAGCCAGAAGTTCAAGACTGGCCTGGGCAACATGGCAAAAACCATCTCTACAAAAAATCAAAAATTAGCCAGGTATGATGGAACATGCCTGTAGTCCCAGTTACTGAGGAAGTTGAGGCAGAAGGAATGCTTGACCCCAGGAGGTTGAGGCTGCAGTGAGCTGTGTTCATGCCACTGCAAGCCAGCCTGGGTGATGAAGCAAGCACTCTTTTTTTTTTTTTTTTTTTTTTGAGATGGAGTCTCGCTCTGTCACCTAGGCTGTAGTGCAGTGGCACGATCTCAGCTCACTGCAACCTCTGCCTCTGGGTTCAAGTGATTCTCCTGCCTCAGCCTCCCGAGTAGCTGGGATTACAGGTGCCCGCCACCATACCTGGCTAACTTTTTGTATTTTTTAGTAGATAAAGGGTTTCACCATGTTGGCCAGGCTGGTCTCGAACTCCTGTCCTCAGGTGATCCGCCTGCCTCAGCCTCCCAAACTGCTGGGATTACAGGTGTGAGCCACCACGCCAGGCTGGCGAGTACTCCGTCTTAAAAAAAAAAAAAAACTACAATGGCTGATAAGGTAAGAATTAGAGACCAGTTACCATCTGAACTCTCAAGATACTTACATGTAAAAGAAGAGTTGTATGGTCATACTCACCTTTCTACCAGAAATACTTCTGGGATGTTTTTATTCATGTATGCATTCATTTATTCATTTATTTAACAAATATTTATTCAGTTCCTATGATGCCAGGCTGTTTCCAACCTCTGAAGGCACTTGATTCAAGCCACAAGCCCAATTTCCTCTACTGCCCACCCCCAACTCCAACAGCTCAAGGGCAGTTAGTTCAAATCTTTCTGAATAAGAAGATAAGGGTAGTAAACCACAAAGAACCACACTACGGCCTGCCAATAAAACTAGCTAATTTCATTCAACCTGTTAAAATCCAATCAGAAAGAAAAATAAACCAAACATAAGAAAATTTTTGCGATCTACAGAACTTTAGGGCTGGGCGCAGTGGCCCACGCCTGTAATCCCAGCACTTTGGGAGGCCAAGGCGGGCGGATCACCTGAGGTCAGGAGTTCGAGACCAGCCTCAACATGGAGAAACCCCATCTCTACTAAAAATACAAAATTAGCCGGGCATGGTGGTGCATGCCTGTAATTCCAGCTACTCTGGAGGCTGAGACAGGAGAATTGCTTGAACCCGGAAGGCGGAGGTTGTGGTGAGTGGAGATTGCGCCATTGCACTCCAGCCTGGGCAACAAGAGCGAAAGTCCGTCTCAAAAAAAAAAAGAACTTTAGGATTTGATAGCATATCTAATATTCCAAAATAAATACATATAATTTCTTAATTGACATGCCATCTGTCAATAAAAGATTTAAAAGGTAATCTGCTACAAGTCTTCATTCTTATCACTAACCTTTCTTCATGTGCTAACATGTACATTTCCTTCTTTACTGTGCCTTGACTTTCCAAATAAATTTGTGTGTGTGTCTGTAACAGAATGAGAGACAGACAAACAGAGACGCATTTGGGTTTTATTATAACGTATTCACACCTTAAGGAAGGAGAAAGGCTGAGGTAGCAAAGGAAAGGAAAAAAGTAAATGGAATTATAAAAGTGATGGCTTAAAAAAAACATACATATCACAAAACTGTTCTTCCTAGCAGCAATTCTCTAACACTCAAATTTGTCTATCTAGCTATCTAACTCTTAAGAAAGTAATTAAGCATTTTTAAATAAGTCTTAAAAAGCACGGTGGCTCATGCCCGTAATCCCAGTACTTTGGGAGGCCAAGGCGGGTGGATCACCTAAGGTAGGGAGTTCAAGACCAGCCTGGCCAACATGGCGAAACCCCGTCTCTACTAAAAATACAAAAAATTAACCAGGCATGGTGACAGGCGCCTGTAATCCCAGCTACTCGAGAAGCTGAGGCAGGAGAATCACTTGAACCTGGGGGTGGAGGTTGCAGTGAGCCAAGATCGCATCACTGCACTCCAGCCTGGGTGACAGAGCTAGACTCCATCTCAAAAAAAAAAAAAAAGCTTATATTTTAAATTAAAAAATAAAACAAAAGCTCATGTTCCCTTCTAAAATAAGACCTATGAGAAAAGTTCCACCATGGAACTAGTAAAATCAAAATAACTATTTTATGTTAGTTCAGTCTATGTAAATTGTACTGTAAAGTTTTTGTATTTAGCATTTTAGCCAAGATAAAAATTTAATAAATACAGGTTGAAATCTAGAATTGCACTTTTTTTTAATATATAGTTTTTTTTTTTTTAATTGAGATGGAGTCTCGCTCTATTGCCCAGGCTGGAGTGCAGTGGCACCATCTCGGCTCACTGCAAGTTCCGCCTCCCGGGTTCACGCCGTTCTCCTGCCTCAGCCTCCCGAGTAGCCAGGACTACAGGCACCCACCACCACACCCAGCTAATTTTTTATATTTTTATTAGAGACGGGATTTCATCGTGTTAGCCAGGATAGTCTTGATCTCCTGACCTCGTGATCCGCCCGCCTCGGCCTCCCAAAGTGCTGGGATTACAGGCGTGAGCCACCGCGCCCAGTTGAATTGCACGTTTTTAATGGTCATATTTTTATATCATGTTGTTAGGAGGAAAAAATAAAATACCTAAGAATGATAGTTAAAAATCCAAATGATTCTTTACTATCCTACTACTCTAATTTTAAATCAACATTAAATTTTTCCCAGTATATTTAATACATATTATAACTAAAACATTTTAAATGTATAAAAGTGCTTTTTTTTTGGTAGAGATGGGGGTCTCACTTTGTTGACCAGGCTGGTCTTGAACTCCTTAAAAGTACATTTTTTACAGTCACACAGGCAAATTCACCTAAATAATTTACAATGTAGAATTGAACATAGTCTGTTAAGGGTGCTTTCAGGTCATCAGAATCTGAAAATTATACATTAAAATAGCAGTCCCCAACCTTTATGGCACTAGGGACCAGTTTCACAAAAGACAATTTTTCCACAGAACGGGGGTCAGAGGTGGGTGGATGGTTTCAAGATGAAACTGTTCCACCTCAGCGGGAGATGAACGGCAGGCAAGCGAGCATTACCACCTGAGCTTCACCTCCTGTCAGATCAGTGGTAGCATTAGATTCTCATAGGAGCACAAAGGAGGGATCTGGGTTGCTTGCTCCTTATGAGAATATGTACATAGACCTGAGGTACATAGACCTGAGGTACTACAGACTTGGTCAACTTTTGGCCTCCTTCTTAACCATCAGAGGATGCTAAAACATGGTCTGAAACAGAATGTAGACAAATCTGACAAAATCTGTCAATCTGGTAAGATGGTTAAAATAAAGGGAAGGAAGTAGACTGCTATCCCAACTGTTTCCAAACCAATCACTGAAATCTCCAATACACAAATCAAAGCCATCATGCTAATTTTTGTCATTCCATAAAGGGTAGCAAACGTACCATAAAAACAAAACAGAGATCTACTCATGTTGTGGTGACTGAAAACAAAGATTTTACAGGCCTTTTTACTTGACACAGGATGCCAAGGAAGCTTCTAACTGCAGAAGAACAGAATACAGATCCCAAGGAAAAGCAACAGCCCAAGGGGCAAGGAAGTGAGGGGGAAGGCAGTAAAGAAAATGATACTCGTGCGATAGGTGAAAGGAGAGAAAGGGAATCTGTGGAAACTTCCACCTTCTGCTAAAGAACAGAAAAAAATCATAGGATATTCCATTCGACCAACAATATACCCTCTGGGGCCAGGGAGTAGAGAAGCTAGCTGAAAACAGCCTCATTAGAGTCAAAATTTGACATGTCTCAGGCAAAATCATTCTTAAAGTTTTGTTCCATATCAAGTTTTCATGTCTTCAGATTTACATAAGAAGGGTTTTCCTCATCTATAACCAATTAATTGGCATTTCCAGCTAGAAATAAGAACTTAAATTACACAGTGGTCCCAATGATTAAAAGCTCCCAGGATTGTAAACAGACTTTGATTTGCAATTAAGAATATTTTACTCCTACTCCAGTAATGACAAGAGCAAAACAAAAATACATCAAGTCTTTCTCAAAGCCAATACAGTAAGTACTGAAGAAATTGTGCTAATGCCTTAAAGGTTACTGAAAATAAGGTACTTACAGAAGTATGCATATAAATCTCTACTAGAAAGGATAAAAGTGCCAGTCAGCAAGTTCATTCAGGCCAGATGTGGTGGCTCACCTGTAATCCCAGCACTTTGGGGGACTGAGGCGGGCAGACCACTTAGTCCAGTCAGGAGCTCGAAAACAGCTGGGCCAACATGGCAAAACCCCGTCTCTACTAAAAACACAAAAATTAGCCAGGCATGGTGGCAGGCACCTGTAATCCCAGCTACTCTGCAGGCTGAGACAGGAGAATCGCTTGAACCTGGGAGACAGAGGTGGCAGTGAGCTGAGATCGCACCACTGCACTCCAGCCTGGGCGACAGAGTGAGTCTCTGTATCCAAAAAAAAAAACAGGCCAGGCGCGGTGGCTCACACCTGTAATCCCAGCACTGTGAGAGGCCGAGGCAGGCAGATCACCTGAGGTCAGGAGCTCGAGACCAGCCTGGCCAACATGGGGAAACCCTGTCTCTACTAAAAATACAAAAAATTGCCGGGTGTCCTGGTGAGCGGCTGTAATACCAGCTACCCAGGAGGCTGAGGCAGGAGAATCGCTTGAACCCAGGAGGCAGAGGTTGCAGTTAGCAGAGATCACACAACTTCACTACAGCCTGGGTGACAGAGCAAGACTCCGTCTCAAAAAAAAAAAAAAAAAAGTGCATTCGCCTTATTGAAAACTCTTCTTATAATATCAAACCCAAATCAGCATCCATCATCATAGATTATTAGACTTCTATCTCAAATACACAAGAAAAAAATAATAAAGTCAAACCCTATGTATAAACCCATGGTGACCTCAGGCAATTTTAAATCCAAAATTATTCAAAATTATTTGAAGGGATAAAGAATCAAATTGCCAGCACCCTCAAAATAGAACAGTACAGGACACACTGGATCCCATTATTGAGCATGGTACTACTACATTCAACACACCATGGATATTATTTCATCAATTTCATATAAACTTTGGCAGCAGACTTTAAGTTCCTAGAAAATTGTTCCCCAAAGTTTTGTAACCTTAATTAAAGTATAATAATTCCAAGAAACAAATCACAGAGAGGCAAAGAAAACAAACATATAGAGGCCATGATGTCATTAGTTAAAATGACATATGAAAAAATGCAAGAATGTTGATAATGATTAAAGCTGGCTGATGAGTTCATAGGTTTTCTTTTCGCTTTTGTGTATGTCTAAAATTTTCTATGAGAAACAGAATATCAAATTTTTTTTTTTTGAGACACAGTCTCGCTCTGTCACCAGGCTGGAGTGCAGTGGTGCAATCTCGGCTCACTGCAACCTCTGTCTCCCGGGTTCAAGCTATTCTCTTGCCTCAGTCTCCCGAGTAGCTGGAACTACAGCTGCGTACCACCATGCCCAGCTAATTTTTGTATTTTCAGTAGAGACAGGGTTTTCCCATGTTGGCCAGGATGGTCTCGATCTCTTGACCTTGTGATCCACCCACCTGGGCCTCCCAAAGTGCTGGGATTACAGGTGTGAACCACCGTGCCCAGCCATCAGATTTTATGAACAGTATATCAAACTCACCAAAATGAGTTTTTATTGGCTGTTTATAAATTGGGGGTGGGGGGGACACGGTAATTATCATTAATTAAGTGCCTATAAAGTGTTTGTTTTTTTGTTGTTGTTTTTTTGTTTTGAGACAGAGTCTCACTCTGTCACCCAGGCTGGAGTACAATGGCACAATCTGGGATCACTGGAACCTCTGCCTCCAGGGTTTAAGCAATTCTCCTGCCTCAGCCTCCCAAGTAGCTAGGACTACAGGCACGCACCACCACCCCGCCTCACTAATTTCTGTATTGTTAGTAGAGATGGGGTTTCGCCATGTTGGCCAGGCTGGTCTCAAACTCCCGATCTGAAGTGATCCACCCACCACGGCCTCCCAAAGAGCTGAAATTACAGGTGCGAGCCACAGCCCCCAAGTAGGTGTTTTAATATATAAGAACTCTGTGGCCAGGCATGGTGGTTCACACCTGTAATCCCAGCACTTTGGGAGGCCGAGGCAGGCAGATCACGAGGTCAGGTGTTCGAGACCAGCCTGGCCAATATGGTGAAACCTCGACTCTACTAAAAATACAAAAAGTAGCCAGGCATGGTGACACACACCTGTAGTCCCAGCTACTCAGGAGGCTGAGGTGAGAGAATCGCTTGAACCCGGAAGGCACAGGCTGCAGTGAGCCGAGATCACGCCACTGCACTCCAGCCCGGGCGACAGAGCGAGACTCCATCTCAAAAAAAAGAACTCTATGAGATAGAATCAGCCCAATTTTACATAAAAGAAAATTAAGAATCAAGAGGGTAAACTTAATCTTCCTCAAGATCATATAGGAGCTGAACTGAGACCCACAGCCAAAGAAAGAAAGAAGGAAATAAAAAAGGAAGACAATGACTGGTAAAGGGGGTAAAAAAAAAAACCTTTTTGGCACTAATATACAAAAGAAACAATCAGAGAAATAAGCCAGGCATGCATGGTGGCTCATGCCTGTAATCACAGAACTTTGGAAGGCTAAGGTGGGATAATGGCTTAAGGCCAGGAGTTCGAGACCAGCCTGGGCAACATAGCAAGACCCCCATCTCTATGAAAAAAAATTTTTAATTAGAATTTAATTTTTTTTAATTAGAGAAATACAATTTCCAGAAAATATCACTAGGTAAAATATTCTTATAGAAGTATGCAATAACAAATATTCAAGCAAAATGAAAGAAAAAATAGAACTGTATTTAGAAATCTACACTGTAAGGGTGGATATCTTGAGGATTAGAATCCAGAGGAGAAATCCCATTTCAGCCATGATGTTAACCAGTTGTGTGTGTGTATATATTTACATATATATGTAAATTCACATATACATATCCATATCAAAACTTCCCTAAACCTGAATTTAACATACAACTTAGAATAGATTAAGAAAATGTTCTAAAAAGTGTCATTACATATTTAACGTGGTAGTCTATATTTATCATCCAGAAGAATTTAGCATATAATCCTCATATTTGAAGTTCACTGTACAAATACATTACTCCAACACTCCAGTGTTAAGGCAAGCATCTAAAAGTAATATTTTGCTGGGTATCGTGACTCATGCCTGTAATCCCAGCACTTTAGGAGACCAAAGTGGGAGAACTGCTTGAGGCCAGGAGTTTCAGACCAGCCTAGGCAAGACAACAAAACCCCGTCTCTACAAAAAAAAACAAAACAAAAGAATTAGCCAGGTGTGGTGGCATGTGCCTATAGTCCCAGCTACTTGGGAGGCTGAGGTTGGAGGATCACTTGAGCCCAGGAGGTTGAGGCTACAGTGAACTGGGATCACACCAGTGTACTTCAGCCTGGGTGACAGAGCAAGACCCTATCACATGGCCAGGCACAGTAGCTCATGCCTATAATATCAGCATTTTAGGTGGCCGAGGTGGGCGGATCACTTGAGGCCAGGAGTTGAGACCAGCCTGGCCAACACGGCAAAACTCTGTCTATTACTAAAATACAAAAAGTAGCTGGGCATGGTGGTGCACACCTGTAATCCTAGCTACTCAGGAGGCTGAGAGGCACAAGAATCACTTGAACCAGGGAAGCGCTGAACCAGGGAGGCGCTGAACCTCGGACAGGGAGGTTGCACTGAGCTGAGATTGTGCCACAGCATTCCAACCTGAGTGACAAAGTGAGACTCTGTCTCCAAAAAAAAAAAAAAAAAGAAGACGAAGAAGAAAAAGAGGAGGAAGAGGAGGATGAAGAGGAGGAAGAGGAAGCGTAAGAAGAAGAAACAACAACACAATTAAACACCACTACAAACTTACTAGAATGACTAAAATTTAAAACACTGATAATACCAAGTGCTGACAAGGATGGAGAACAACTACAGCAACTACATTACTGGTAGGAATGCAGCATGCTACAGCCACTTTGGAAAACAGTTTGACAGTTCTTATGAAGTTAAACATACATTTACCATACCAAGCACACTCTTCAGTATTCACCCAGGAGAAAGGAAAACATGTCCACCAAAGGCCTATAGGCAAAGGTTTGGGGCAACTTACCCAAAGTAACTGGATAAACAAATTGTAATTACATCCATAGAATAGAATACTTCTCAGCAAAAATTAAAAAAGAAACAAGCAACTTAATTATGCAACGACATAGAGGAATCTCAAATGCAATTTGCTGAGTACAAGAAGCTAGTCACGAAAGGCTACTTGCTACATGATTCCATTTTTATTCAACATTCTGGAAAACAAAGTGACAGGGACAGAAATTAGATCAGTGGTTGCCAGGGGATAGGGATGGGGAAGAGAGAAATGACTACAAAGGGGTAAAAGGGAACTTTTTGAGGTGGGGGAAATATCTCATATACCAAATGTGATGGTTGTTATATGACCGTATACATCAATCTACACAACTCAAAAGGGTGAATTTTATTCTATGTAAATCATACCTTAATAAACCTGACTTTTAAGATGACAAAGATGTAATCTCTGCCTTCAAGCTCATGATCTAATGAGAGAAATATATATAAACACATAATTTGAACAAGGTAAATGCTATAGTAAGTTATGAACAAAGTTCTGTGGTAGAATGGAGGAGGAATAAAGTCTGTCTCAGAGTGAGGCAAAGGATTCTCAGAGAAAATAACATGTAAGCTATGTCTTAAAAGTAACAAGGCTGGGCGCAGTGGCTCATGCCTGTAATCACAGCACTTTGGGAGGCCAAGGCAGGTACAATCACTGAGGTCAGGAGTTCGAGACCAGCCTAGCCAACATGGCGAAACCCAGTCTCTACTAAAAATACAAAAATTAGCTGGACACAGTAGCGTGCGCCTGTAGGCCCAGCTACTCGTGAGGCTGAGGCTAGAAAATCGCTTGAACTCGGGAGGCAGGGGTTGCAGTGAGCCGAGACTACACCACTGCACTCCAGACTGGGCAACAGAGCGAGACTCCGTCTCAAAAAAAAAAAAAAGGTAACGAGCATGATGATGACAGACCAAGAAGAAAAGGACCCAAGCAGAGAGAACAGTTGAGAGAAAAAACACAGAGGTATGTAAAGGCAAGATTAGCCATGTGAGAGACAGTAAACGAAGTGTAGGATGAGTTAGAGCATCAGAGGTCATGCCATACATGATAAGATTTGTGTTTTAGAAAGATAAGTATAAATATCATGTGGGAAAATATATGGAGGTATAGAATGACTGGCAGAGAACAAGAACAGTTTTGAAGGGTGTTACAATAATCCTAGAAAGAGATACCTGGGGTCTGAATTAAGGTTCAATTAAAAGGCTATTTAGTGAAAGACTACTTATGGGAATAAGGAAGAAAAGACAAGTTAAGGTTAATTGAAATTTCTGCAAAGAACAAGTGATCATCAATAAGATGAGAAACATAAAAGGAAATACAGATTTGTTTGATAATCCAAGTTGGGGGGAGAATCATCTGGCTTCCATTTTCCTATCTACTAACTCTCTTCCTTGTAGGCATGCCTTCTCTAACTAAAACTGATATTTATTATGACTTATCTACTTGAACTATTTTATAAAATAACTATAAGAAGTAAAGGCAACACAGCAAAACCTCAGCAAAGTTTTTACAGTATCTTAGATATAGCAGAATAGTTATTTTAAAGGTAAAAATAAGGCCGGGTGCAGTGGCTCACACCTATAATCCACGCACTTTGGGAAGCCAAGGCAGGAGGATTGTTTGAGCCCAGGATATCAAGACCCTAGCCTGGGCAACATAGCAAGACTCCATCTCTACAAAAAAATAAAATTTAAAGAAATTAAAAATAAGTTTTAAAAAAGAAAACATTGGGCAGTTTGGCTAGAGCATAATTATTAGAACAGATAATTAGATTTCCTAGTTTTTCAAAAATTTGAATTGTAATAAAAGGAAATTTCAATGTTCTATTTCAATTTTCAGCAGCAAATAAATGTGTACAAAAAGGAACTTAAAGAATAAAAAATAAATGAAAATAGGAGAGGAAAGAATAAATTTAAATACTGCATCGCCAACTTATGTAATAGGTTCCAAATTTGTCTTTAAAAAGCAATTATGTGATGGCTAGGCATAGTAGGCTCACACCTGTAACCCCAGCACGTTGGGAGGCCAAGGCAGGTGGATCACCTGAGGTCAGGAGTTCAAGACCAGCCTGACCAACATGATAAAACCTCATTGTATTAGTCCATTTTCATGCTATTGATAAAGACATACAAAAGACTGGGAAGAAAAAGAAGTTTAATTGGACTTACAGTTCCACATGGCTGGGGAGGCCTCAGGATCATGGAGGGAAGCAAAAGGCATTTCTTACATGGTGGTGGCAAGAGAAAAAGAGGAAGATGCAAAAGCAGAAACCCCTGATAAAACCATCAGATCTCATGAGACTTATTCACTACCACGAGAACAGTATGGGGGAAACTGCCCCCATGACTCAAATTATCTCACACCGGGTCCCTCCCACAACACATGGGAATTATGGGAGTACAATTCAAGATGAGATTTGGGTGGGGACACAGAGCAAAACCATATCACCCATCCCTACTAAAAATACAAAAATTAGCCTGGCGTGGTGGCAGGCACCTGTAATCCCAGATACTCAGTAGGCTAAGGCAGGAGAATTGCCTGAACCTGGGAGGCAGAGGTTGCAGTGAGCCGAGATCATACCACTGCACTCCAGCCTGGGCGACAGAGCAAGACTCTGTCTCAAAAAAAAAAAAAAAAAATCAATTATGTGAAATTTAGAATATATTGCCCCAAAGAAACAATGTGACACTAAAGCATAGCTAAACAATACTAGGGTATTACACCAACCTGCTGAATAACCAACCCCACCACCATCACCACCACCACCACCACTACCACTACCACTACCAAAGTACAGTGTTGAGGAGAACAGGGTGCTCTGAGGCTGCCTGAGGTTCAACATCTTTTGTGACCTCGACTGGGGTAATTAATTCTACAAGTCTAATATTCCTCACCTTTAAAATGGAGATGATAAAATCACCTGCTCCACACGAGTTACTGTGAAAATTAAAAGAGGGAACCTAAAGCACTTAGCACAGTCATCCATCCAACATGTATTTATTAAGCACCTACTACATGTTAGGTACAAGGCCCCAAGGCCCTGGCAATGAAACAGTAAACAAAAAAAGTAAGTCCCTACTTTTATGGAGTGTGTATTCTAATAAAAGAAAACACGCAATAAAAAAAATCTGATGGAGTTAATGCTATGAAAATAAAGCAGGATATAAGAGATAAAGAGTAACAAGGAGAAGGATACTATTTTGGTAGTGGGGAAAGGTTCTCTAATAAGGCCACAAATTTTAACAAAGACCATAAGAGAATGAAGAAGAGGGTCATACAGAGAACTGGGGGAAGAAATCAGATCCATTTCTGGCAATATGGTAGACTAGATGCCCAGAAAAGTACTTGTGATTCAGAATTTCTTAAAATGCTGAATATTAAAACAAAAATAGTATTTTTCATGAGTGGCTGAGCTGAAAGAAAGAAAAAACAACAAAGCATTGGTGAGCACTGAAACCAGCCTCTCCCCTGGGAGCATCCATCAATTCCCCAGTGGCTTAGAAGTCAGTTTAAGGGACTGGTGAGAAGGACATAAAGGTTGGGGCCTAAACAAGGTGGGAAATCTGAAAAGCAACACTCAGTGGATGAACTGCAGAGGAGGGTAAACAACATGCTAAACAGAGATCACAGTTGGCATGTTTGCCTTTCCCAGTCTCGGTGGAAGAGAAAAAACGAAGTCACCCTTCGCTCACTCCAGTTTAAGGACAAAATTCATACTACCTATGTGGTCTAGAAAAACTCAGACTAAAAATTCAGTTTCGAGAGATTCTGGGTTGGAAGAGACTAGAGCATGACAGAAGCAAACACCAATCCAGCCAAGAGGAGTACACTAAACCCAAGCCTTCAGTGATATTCACAAATAAAAATCCATGGAAGATTATCTCACAATTAAAAAGAAATTCACAAAATAATGAAAAAAGCCCCCAAGAATCAGCAGAACAAGCCTTTCAGGAACAGAAGAAACGATGAGGAACATGAAAATAATCAGATATATAATATAAAAATGTTAATGTTTAAGGAAATAAAAGAGATATAGAAAGTATGACTGAGGAAAAGAAACTGTAAAAAACATGAATATGAAAAAATCAAACAATTGTAATGTTTCTGGATAGAAACATTACAATTGCTTATTGATAGTCATACAATAATTGGATATTTGAGAGGAGATCATTCTAGGCAAAGGAAAAAATAAGTTCAAAGGCCCTAAGGTAAGACTGTGCTTGGCTTGCTTTAGGAAGTACAAAAGGGCCATGGCATCCAGAGTTGAGTAAACAAGGAAGAAAAGTGGGAAGAAATGACGACCAAGAACTGGTACTTAATAGGTCACAAAATACCTCAATAAATATTATTTATTATCCCATAATTTCTATTGGAAAAATTTGGATATTAGAAATAATAATTTCTTCTTTACCATTTCTGCATTAAATATAGAAGCCAGAGCAGAGCTACAGAGGATCTCAAGTAGGTTCAGAAGGAAATAAGAAAATATTCCTTTTCTATGAAGTAGGGAGAGTCTTCAGTAGAGGTCCCAGTGCCAAGGAAGACATCTGGGTCTTGTGTGAGCAAGGTAGAAATGAAGTGATTCAGAAGATACATTTCTGGAAATAATAATGATCAACAACAACCAAAAAAAAAAAAAAAAAGTCAAGATGGAATTACCATTTCAAAGTAGGAGACATTTCAAACTTGGGCATTAATTGGTAATCAGGACATCCTCAGAGTACTCAAAAATTTCACGGTTCAAGTGAACGTTTACATCCTATGACAATGAGAATTTAGCATAAATGAAACTCCCAAAGATATGCCAAACTTTTTAACTATCTGGTTTAATTCTCAACTTTTTCTAAATATTTTCAAAAGACACTAACAAGTAGCAAAATAGTACTACTCTGATTTTTCTTTTCTTCCATATTCCTACCCTCAGACTAAGGTATTGCCTAAAAAAGCCATGAACAAAACACAAGTAATACAGGTTAAGAATAATATTCATAAGCCACAACTAGAGGTATAATCAATCCCTAAATATTAAAGAGTTGGTCATTCCATTTTTTCCTGATTAGCAAAATAACAGAAAATTGACTGGTGGATATCTTAAATACATATAAACTACCATGCACCATTTGACACATGAAGAAATAGATGCAAAGAATCAAAGTATGCATTGTTAAATCAATGATAAAAGTTTTAAAATAATTCATTTTCTCAAAGCTTATCACTCTTAACAATGTTTCTAATTATCATAACCTAATACAATTCCTGACAAATTTAATCAAATTAGGTTCTAATACAAGAACACAACTTATATTAATAATCACACAGTATAACATGGTACACACAAAATTCAAAATCAAACAACCTGAGTCCAAATGCCATCTTACTAACTATGACACTTGAGCATCATTGACCACTCCAATCCTGTTTTCATGCTATAAATCAAGTTTAATAAAGTACTGCCCCATGGAGTTGTTACATGGAAAAAATAAAATAATCCCGTAAAACACTTATGTTTATCAGCAGACTCAGATATACACCCTGACTTACATCTAGGTTCCATTCTATTATAACTGGATCATAAAGCAAAGCATTAATTTCTTTTTTTATTTTTATTTTATTTTAATTTAAGTTCAGGATACATGTGGCATTAATTTCAGTCTTTCCTTCTGAAGCACCACTTAAATAACTTGACGTGACTGTTCTCACACAGTGCATTCAGCACTATAGAATAAAGTCAGTGTCTAACAATAAAAACTAGAAAGATATTTGTGCAATATGTTATGCTAAATGTAGAACTTGGCTAAATTGAAAATTTTCTGAAATACTTTATGTAAATAAAGAAACAGAGCAGTCCCTACAAATAGAAATGACTCCTGAAATTTTTATGTCAAAAGTCATTGTGTCAATTTATGTGTAATATTCAAGTGACTACCAAATGGTCATCATTTGACTCACTCAAACTATTGTGTTTCAAAAGTTCATCCCCATGCAGATAAACATGTTAAAGATAGTATAATTCACTAAAAATAGTCAAGTTCTCTATTGATACAAATGGGATTTCTATGCAGGTTACTTGTATTCAATCTAAATGACTAAGAACTTATAAAGACTTAAGACGATCCTGCAAGAAAGATGCCTAAGGGGAAAAAAAAAGAATTAAGATAAAGTAGTATTTTGCTCTAGGTTGTTTATTTTAAGTGTGTAGCGGTTGGGGAAAAAAACATGACTCCTTTATATTATCCTAAAACATTCTACAATTCTTTTTTTTTTTAATAATCCTTTTTGAGACAGAGTCTCTCTCTGTCGCCCAGGCTGGAGTGCAGTGGCGCAATCTTGGCTTACTGCAACCTCCGTCTCCCGGGTTCAAGCGATTCCCATGCCTGAGCCTCCCGAGTAGCTGGGATTACAGGCGCACACCACCACGCCCAGTTAATTTTTGTATTTTTAGTAGAGACAGGGTTTCATCACGTTGGCCAGGCTGGTCTCCGACTCCTGACCTCAAGTGATCCGCCCACCTCGGCTTCCCAAAGTGCTAGGATTACAAGCGTGAGCCACTGCACCTGGCCAAACAGTCTATAATTGTAAAAGCTATGAAAACTCTTTTTTTTTTCTTTTTTAAGAGATAGGGTCTCGGCCGGGCACGGTGGCTCATACCTGTAATCCCAGCACTTTGGGAGGCCAAGGCAGGTGGATCACATGAGGTTGGGAGTTCGGGACTGGCCTGACCAAGATGGAGAAACCCCGTCTCTACTAAAAAAATACAAAATTAGCCAGGCTTGGTGGTGCATGACTGTAATCCCAGCTACTTGGGAGGCTGAGGCAGGAGAATCGTTTGAACCCAGGGGGCGGAGGTTGCAGTGAGCCGAGATCACGCCACTGCACTCCAGCCTGGGTAACGAGAACGAAACTCCGTCTCAAAAAAAAAAAAAAAAGAGAGATAGGGTCTCATTCTGTCGCCCAGGATAGAGTACAGTGGCATAATCATAGTTCGCTACAGTCTCAAACTCCTGGGCTCACGTGATCCTGCCACCTCACCATCTCCAGTGGGTAGGACTACAGGCACACACTACCACGTAGACCTGATTTTTTTGTTTTTTTGTAGATATAGGATCTCACTATGTTGCCCTGGGTGGTCTTGAACTCCTGGCCTCAAGCAGTCCTCCCACCTGAGCCTCCCAAAGTGTCGGGACTATAGGCATGAGCAACCGCACCCGGCAGGAAAATTCACTTAATTACTAAAATTTTAAAACACCACCTCCACACATAAAATCCCCCATGAATAAATCTATATTTTGTTTTGGTAATACAAGGTTGCTTTCTAAGATAACAATTGCTCATCTGCCTGTATGTATAAATACATGTAAGCATTTGGGAAAGAAGAAAAATGACTAATTTTATCTTCCTACAATTTCTTCAGTGATCTACACTAGAACTCCATTATCTGAAATTATCTAAGGTATTCCTAAGCAGAAAAATAAGTTGGTCAATTGTAGCCTAAGTTGGTCCTATATTTATTCAATGGCTATCACACATTCATCACTTCGTTATACCTTAGACTTCCAGCAGATAATGAATATAACCTTTAAATCCATCACTTTACAAATGCCTACAAATATTAGGTAAATATAACAAAAAATACTTTTCAATGTAGAACTGAGCTTGAGTTTGCAAAGAAAGAAAGAAAGGAAAATCCCCGAGCCTAAAGTGAAGAAGAAACAGAAAAATAAGTATCTGAACTTCCATTACAACTGCTGAAGAGGCAAGAAAGAGGAAGCTAGTACTAGGGGGCTTGAATTTTATTTCCTTTTTAGAAACAAACAAAAAAAAAGTATTCACTCAAGATGGGGAAGTAGAGATAAAATCTCTATATAAATATGGGATCCTCAAAAGGTTGACCCTCAGGAAAAAGTAGATTCTTCCTCTCCCCCACAAAAAAACTTCCCTGGCACAGGAAATTACAAATAATTAGTCTTTGGCTGGGCTGCTGATTTCCTTTTTTTTTTTAATTCTATAGAGATAAGGTCTATGTTGCCCAGGCTGGTCTTGAACTCCTGGGCTCAAATGATCTTCCTGCCTCTGTCTCCCAAAGTCCTGGGATTACATGCATGAGCCACCGTGCCTGGTCACTACTGATTATTTTTAAGTTTCCTCTAAGATAGTAAAATTCTGGGATTTCCTCTAAGATAGTAAAATTCTGCTATTCACATAGGAAGTCCAAATTTACACTACTGGCATGAACAACAAACCCCAGAATGACAAATTTAAAAAACAAAACAAAAAAAAAAACAATTTCAGGTATAATATACCCCCTGAGGCTCCAGGCAAACTTAATCCATACGTTCTGGTAATAAACATTTCCTAAGCACATACTATGTGTCAAGTACTCTTCTAGGGGCTAGGGATGCAATAAGCAAAACAGACAAAAATCTCTACTCTTATGAAACATAAACAGTAGTCCCTCTTGATCTACAGGGTATACATTGCAAGACCCCTAGTGGATACCTAAAACCACAGATAATACCAAATGCTATATACACTATGTTTTTTTGTATACACACATACCTATGATAAAGTTTAATTTATAAATTAGGCACAGTAAGAGATTAACAACAATAACTAGTAATAAAATAGAACAGTTAGAACAATACACAGTTTCCAATTTTTGACAGTTTGACTTACAATTTTTCAACTTTATGATGGTGTGAAAGCAATAAGCATTCAGCACAAACCTCAATTTAACAATGGAGTTACATCCCAATAAACTCATTGTAAGTTGAAAAGTCAAAACTACCATAAATCAACAAGTATTTTCAACTTACAATATTTTCAGCTTTAGATGTAAGTGCATCAAGTCAAGGAGCATCTGTGTAATTCACAATTACATGGATAGAAGATTCGTACATACTGCAAACCTTAGCAACCTCAGCACATGATTTTTTTTCCTTGTAAGTCAAGAACTTCCACCTATTCACTTAAAAAAAGTGCTTTACAATGTCTCTGTGTCACATCCAAATTGCCAACATCACTACTCTTGTCCCGAACATTATTAAGTAAAATAAGGGTTACTTAAACACTGCAATACCATGACAGTCAATCTGATCGTGGAGAGGGTAGTCACTTAGTAAAGTGACTAAAGGACAGGTAGCATATACGTAGAGCATGGATACGCTGGACAAAGGGATGATTTGCATCCTAGTCAGGATGGAGCAGAATGCTTGAGATTTCATCACACTACTCAAGAGCTGCACACAATTTAAAACTTAGGAACTGTCAAGGGCTTCAAGATGGCTGACTAGAGGCATCTCCTACTTGCCTCCTCCACTAGGAATAACCAAAATAGTGAGTAATCACACCTTGAATAGATAATCCAAGAAAGAACACTGGAATTCAATAGAAAAATGACAAGAAACACCTAAAGAAAGGAAGGAGAGGGAAACAAGACAGCCTGCTCGGCTGGGAGCCGAGAGACAATCCCCACTGCGGGGAAACAGTAAGTGGGAGACTCCCTGTGGTCCACATTCCCACTGTGGACTCCTGCAATTCTAGCCATTGGGGAGCCCCTAGGACCTCATGGGCTCTGAAACTAACATAAGGATCTGTCTGGAAATGGTGCAACAGCACCACTCCACTGAGGAAAATTGCACTGGGTCCCATAATCCCCCTAAGTCCTAAGCAGCTACAACAAGGCACCATTTTGACAACCCAGCCCACAACAGACTGAGCACTATCCTGGGGCCCAGCAGCTGGTGCACAGACAGAAGTAAGAAACAGGCTGCCACCACCAGGACTGAGGCACAAGCGGGGCATGTGTCCCCGACCGCCGACCTAGGCTGCCACCATTAAAGGCAGCCTCATGTTCCCCAGTAGCAGCAGCACAGCACAGCCACTGCTGCCCCTCACCCAATCATTCCAGGGCCTGGGAACCACCCTGTCCCTTCTTACCACAGTAGGTGTCTGCACATATTGTTGGGGGGCCTGATGACATGCCAGCCCAGCTTAACCAGGTCCCCATGCCAAAGCGTGCAGACTAGGGGCCTGGGGATTGTCTCCCTCAGCCCACTACCATTGGCACCTGAACACAACACCTATCCTGAGGATAGGGCTACCCCCCACCTGCCGCTACCACCACAGCTGGCATCTACCTGCATGAACAACCTGCAAATCTAGAGACTGGCAGGCCTAGACCATCACACCCACCGCCAATATACACACACACCACTCAGGATCCAGTGGGTCATCTCTGCCTTTACCCATACTATGCTGGCTACCCAGAAGACTGAGAGTGCACCCACCCACACAGCCTATCACTGCCACTACCAGAATCACAGCAATCCATCTGGAAGCCCAGGAATTGGTTCACCTCAACCCACTGATACTGGTGCCAGTGTATGCTGCCCTAGAGCCCAAGGACAGGCATTCTCAGCCCACTGCTGTCACCACTGAGGCCTGAAAAGTGCCAAACATGGCACCTCAGTCCCCAGCAAAACTTCACCACAGCCTCCATTAATAGTCCGAACCCTAAGGCCCCCAAAAAATCACAGACGCCACTGACACTGTTTATACCTGAAAAAAAATCACAGAGACTATACTACCACACAGACCCAGAATCAAAGCCAATGCACTCTGCCCAACCAACATCATAGATACGTCTTCAAATAAAAAGTCCTCCCCTATGAAAGCAAGTTCAAATAATTTGAAAAAGTCATTACTACACCAGAGGAAAGATATCAATGTAACGACAGAGGAAACATAAAACAGCAAAAAAAAAAAAAAAAAAAAAAAAAGGGCACCTCCAAAGGAACATAATAATTCTCCAGCAACATATCCCAATCAAAAACAAATTTACAGGCCAGGCACGGTAGCTCATGCCTGTAATCCCAGCACTTTGGAAGGCTGAGGCAGATGGATCACCTGAGGTCAGGAGTTCGAGACCAGACCGGCCAAAATGATGAAACCCCCCCCACTAAAAATACAAAAATTAGCTGTGTGTGGTGGTGGGTGCCTGTAATCCCAGCTACTTGGGAGGCTGAGGCAGGAGAATCACTTGAACTCAGGAGGCAGAGGTTGCAGTGAGCTGAGACTGTGCCATCACACTCCAGCCTGGGCAACAAGAGTGAAACTCCATCTCTCAGAAAAAAAAAAAAAAAAGAATAAATAAGCTCAGTGAGAGACACAAGAGAATAATGAAAACTACTACAAAGGAATCAGAAAAATAATTCAGAATATGAATAACAAGTTTACCAAAGAGATAGATGATATTAAAAAAAAAAATCTGGTACTGAAGAATTAAATGGCCAGATGCAGTGGCTCAAGTCTATAATCCCAGCACTTTGGGAGGCTGAGGTGGGAGGATTACTTGAGTCCAAGAGTTCGAAGCCAGCCTGGGCAACATGGTGGCTGGGCAACATGGCAACTACCCCCAAAAAATTAGCTGGGTGTAGTGGCACCTGCCTGTGGTCCCAGCTACTCAGGAGGCTGAGATGAGAGGATAGTTTGAGCCCAGGAGGTGGAGGTTGCAGTGAACCGAGATCGCACTACTGCACTCCAGCCTGGGCAATAGAGCAAGACCTTGTCTCAAAAAAAAATATGTGTGTGTGTATGTGTTTGCGTGTGTGTGTGTGTGTGTGTGTGTGTGTACCAACATCATTTTTCACAGAAATAGAAAAAAACAATCCTGGTCAGGCACAGTGGCTCACACCTGTAATCCCAGCACTTTGGGAGGCCAAGATGGACAGATCACTTTAGTTAAGGAGTTCAGATCAGCCTAGCCAACATGGTGAAACCCCATTTCCACTAAAAACACAAAAAAATTAGTCAGGCATGGTGGCGCACACCTGTAATACCAGCTACTTGGGAGGCTGAGGCAGAAGGATCGCTTGAACCTGGGAGGCGAAGGTTACAGTGAGCCAAAATCAAGCCACTTCACTCCAGCCTGGGTGAAAGCATGAGATTCGGTTTCAAAAAAAAAAAAAAAAACAAAATCCTAAAACTCATATGGAACCAAAAAAAAGCCAATAGTCAAAGGAATCCTGAGCCTAAAGAACAAAGCTGGAGGTGTCACACTACTTGACAAGATGTATATCACGTCTATCATAAAAGAAAACAGCATGGTACTGGCCTAAAAACAGAGCGCATAACCAGACTGGGCAACATAGTGAGACAATCCCCCCAGCCCCCGCCCCTTCTCTGCAAACAAAATTTTAAAATTAGCCAGCTGTGATGGCATGTACCATAGTCCCAGCTACTCAGGAGGCTGAGGTGGGAGGATTGCTTGAGCCCGGGAGGCTGGGGTTACAGTGAGCTGTAATCATGCCGCTGCACTCTAGCCTGGGCAACAGAGCAAGACCCTGTCTCAAAACAAAAAGAAAAGAAAAAACCAACACATAGACGAATGGAACAGAATAGACAGACAATCCAGAAATGAATATGTGTATCTATAGCCAACTGCTGTGTGTGTGTGTGTGTGTGTGTGTGTGTGTGTGTGTGTGTGTGTGTGTGACAGTCTCATGCTGCCACCCAGACTGGAGTGTGGGGTACAGTGACACAATCTCAGCTCAATGCAACCTCCACCTCCTGGGTTCCACAAATCTCCTGCCTCAGCCTCTCCAGTAGCTGGGATTACAGGCATACACCACGATGCCAGGCCAATTTTTGTATGGTTTGTTGATACAGGGTTTCGCCATGCTGCCCAACTGGGTTCAAGCAATTCTCTGCCCGGCCTCCCAAGTAGCTGAGAATACAGGTGCCTGCCACCATGCCCGGCTAATTTTTGTATTTTTAGTAGAGAGGGGGTTTCACCATCTTGGCCACGCTGTTCTTGAACTCCTGAACTCATGATCCACCAGCTTCAGCCTACTATTATACTTTGGGGCCACTATTAGGTACAAATATGGGTCACTTGAATATAATCACTGCAATACTGCCGCAATCAATCTGATAACGGAGACGGCAACTGACTAACAGGCAGGTAGCATATACATACAGCATGATGCTGGACAAAGGGATGATTCACATCCTGGTGGGACAGAGAGTGATTTCATCACACTACTCAGAACAACATGCAAATTAAAACTTACTAATGGTTTATTTCTGAAATTTTACATTTAATATTCTCAGACCATGGTTAACGGAAGGTAATAGAAACTGGGAAAAGCTAACATGTGACTAAGGCAGGGTACTCTTGTAATGGACAGAAACTGACAAAAAGCAAAATATATTAAGTTACATAATATATTAGAAGATAAATCTGTTAAGAAATAAGGTAACGGCTGGGCGCGGTGGCTCACGCCTGTAATCCTAGCACTTTGGGAGGCCGAGGCAGGTGGATTGCCTGAGCTCAGGAGTTCAAGACCAGCCTGGGCAACACAGTGAAACCCCATCTCTACTCAAGTACAAAAAATTAGCCAGGCATGGCGGCATGAGCCTTGTAATCCCAGCTACTCGGGAGGCTGAAACAGGAGAATCACTTGAACCTGGGAGACAGGGGTTGGTTGCAATGAGCCAAGAGCATGCCATTGCACTCCAGCCTGGGCGACAGAGCGAGACTTCGACTCAAAAAAGAAAGAAAGAAGGTAGGGAAAAAAGATAAGAAGTGGAGGAGAGGGAAATAGTCAAGAAATAGTCAAGAAAGATGTTAAACTTACACAAACTAATCTACACAGGATTCCCACAAATAAAATCCCACAAAAATTTAGTTCAGAATCCAAGATTATAAAACACCCTGTAATGGCCGGGCACGGTGGCTCACGCCTGTAATCCAGCACTTTGGGAGGTCAAGGTGGGCGGATCATGAGGTCAAGAGTTCAAGACCAGCCTGGCCAACATAGTGAAAGCCTGTCTCTACTACAAATACAAAAAATTAGCCAGGGGTGGTGGCAGGCGCCTGTAATCCCAGTGAGGCTGAGACAGGAGAATCCCTTGAACCCGGGAGGCGGAGGTTGCAGTGAGCCAAGATCGCACTATTGCACTTCAGCCCAGACAACAGTACAAGACTCCAACTCAAAAAAAAAAAAAAAAAAAAAAAAAAACCCTGTATATACCACATTAGATGAGAGCTAATGAATGAATACTAGAAAACTATACAGAGTAGATTATAAGAGACTTTTGAAAATAATGACACTGTTCTTTTTTTTTTTGGAGACAGAGTCTTGCTCTGTTACCCAGGCTTTTTTTTTTTTTTTTTTTGGAGACGTAATCTCATTCTGTCACCCAAGCTGGAGCACAGTGGTGCAATCTCAGCTCACACCAACCTCCACCTCCCAGGTTCAAGCAATTCTCCTACCTCAGCCTCCCTAGTAACTGGGACTACAGGTGCCCGCCACCACGCCTGGCTAATTTTGTATTTTTTAGTAGAGAACATGTTGGCCAGGCTGGTCTCCAACTCCCGACCTCAGGTGATCCCACCCACCTCGGCCTCCCAAAGCACTGGGATTACAGACTTACAGACGTGAGCCACCATGCCCGGCAACACTGTTCTCTTAAGGGTAAAACAGACTAAAGTAATTCAAAATTGTACAATGAAAAATACAAACTGCCTAACAAATAACTTCATAGGAAACAAAATAATAAAGGAAATATGCATCAAGGTTTTAACAATATATCTTTTGCGGAAAAGAATAATAGGGCAGGGCATGGTGGCTCACACCTGTAATCTCAGCACTGCAGGAGGCCAAGGCAGGCGGATCACCTAAGGTCAGGAGTTCGGGACCAGCCTGGCCAATATGGCGAAACCCCGTCTCTACTAAAAATACAAAAATTAGCAGGGAGTGGTGGTCAGCTACTCGGGAAGCTGAGGCAGGAGAATCACTTGAACCCAGAGGCGGAGGCTGCCGTGAGCTGAGATCACGCCACTACACTGCAGTATGGGTGACAGAGGGAGACTCCGTCTCAAAAAAATAAAATTAAATAAAATAAAAATAAAAGAATAATAGGAACTAGGCTTCCTAAAGATTGTACTTTTATTTTAAAAATTAAGACATTTCCATTTAACACTTTTGAAGTATCAAAACACTTCAAAAAGTTCTGGAGATACAAAGATAAATAAAATACCTTATTGTACATCTATATAAGTATTATAAAACAAAAATGCATTGTGGACATTTCTGTTTCAACCATATAAAAACTATTTTAAAATATTTTCAAGAATATGTGTGTGAAAAGGGATGCTTTATAAAAAGTGAATATAATAGATTAGTTCAACTAGGTCAGTATGAGAAATAAAAAGCTTACTTAGTTTTTCTATTAATTCACAAACAGGAAAAAAAAATCTGATTTTCCAGTTCCCAAATGATTTCTCAGTTTAAAATAAATCAATTCAAAGGTCAACAAAACTGTATGCTTGCAGGAACCTAAATTATCAAGTCTGTCACTTCCAGGAAACTTTGAAGTTTTAAAATTTCACCAATTCACCCAAATTTCTTGTAATTATCATTAATATTAATATATAACCAATAATATCTACTCATGATAGCTAGTAAAATCCCAGCTTGCTTTTTTACAAAAATTGATACGCTGATCCTAAAATTCACATGGAAATGCAAAGGGCCCAGAATAGCCAAAACTGTCTTGAAAAGGAAGAATAAAGAGGTCTTCCCTATTTTAAAACTCGCCACAAATCTTCAGTAAACAAAAGGCAATTTGGTACTGGTTTAAGAATAGACACATAGATAAATGGAAAAGAATTGAGTCCAGATAAATCCTTACATTTATGCTCAACTGATTTTTGACAAAAGTGCCAAGGTAATTCAATGGGAAAAGAATAGCCTTTCAACAAATGGCACTCTAGCCGGGTGCAGTGGCTCACGCCTGTAATCCCAGCACCTTGGGAGGCCGAGGCGGACGGACCACAAGGTCAGGAGATGGAGACCATCCTGGCAAACACAGTGAAACCCTGTCTCTACTAAAAAATACAAAATAAAACTAGCCAGGCCTGGTGGCAGGCACCTATAGTCCCAGCTACTTGGGAGGCTGAGGCAGGAGAATAGTGTGAACCCGGGAGGCGGAGCTTTCAGTGAGCGGAGATCGCGCCACTGCACTCCAGCCTGGGCGACAGAGCGAGACTCTGTCTCAAAAAAAAAAAAACAAAAAAAAAAATGGCACTCTTAACAATTGGATATCCACATACAAAATAATGAATGTAGGCCGGGCGCGGTGTCTCACATCTGTAATCCCTGCACTTTGAGAGGCCGAGATAGGCGGATCACGAGGTCAGGAGATCGAGACCATCCTGGCTAACACGGTGAAACCACGTGTCTACTAAAAATACAAAAAATTAGCCAGGCGTGGTGGCGGGCGCCTGTAGTCCCAGCTCCTTGGGAGGCTGAGGCAGGAGAATGGCATGAACCAAAGAGGCGGAGCTTGCAGTGAGCCGAGATCGCACCACTGCACTCCAGCTTGGGCCACAGAGCAAGACTCCATCTCAAAAAAAAAAAAAAAAAGAATGTAGACCTTTCCCTTACCCTTATCTCACACCATACAAAAATTGACTTAAAATGAATCATAGGCCTAAATTTAGCAGCTAAAACTATAAAGTAATGAACACAGGATGTAAATGCTTTAAAATTAGATTGTGGTAATAGGTGCAAAACTCTTTAAATTTACTAAAAATCATTGACTTGTATACTTAAAATGAGAAGTTTTTTTCTTTTTTTTTTTTCTTTTTGAGACAGAGTTTCATTCTTGTTGCCCAGGCTGGAGTGCAGTGGTGTGATTTCTGCTCACTACAACCTCCGCCTCCCGGGTTCAAGCAATTCTCCTGCCTCAGCCTCCCAAGCAGCTGGGATTACAGGCATGCGCCACCACACCTGGCTAATTTTTGTATTTTTAGTAGAGACCAGGTTTATCCATGTTGGTCAGGCTGGTCTCAAACTCCAGACCTCAGGTGATCCACCTGCCTCAGCCTCTCAAAGTGCTGTGATTACAGGCATGAGCCACCGCACCCAGCCTAAAATTAGTGGTTTTTATGGCATGTAAAATACAGTTGTCCCTTGCTATACTGGGGACATTGGTTCCAGGACTCCTGCATAGACCAAAATCTGAGCATACTCAGATAAGTCCTGCAATGGCCCTGTGGAACCCAGTGATATAAAAAGTAAGCCCTTAGTATGCAACAGTTTCACATCCCAGGAATACTGTATTTTCAATTCGAGTTTGGTTGAAAAAAAAAATCACCATATAAATGGACCCATGCAGTTCAAACTCATGTTATTCAAGAGTCAACTGCATATCTCAATGAAGGTTTAAAAAAGCCACCTCTAGGCTGGGCGCAGTGGCTCACGCCTGTAATCCGAGCACTTTGGGAGGCTGAGGCAGGCGGATCACGAGGTCAGGAGTTCAAGAACAGTCTAGCCAACGTGGTGAAACGCCATCTCTACCAAAAATACAAAAATTAGCCGGGCTTGCTGGTGCATCCCTGTAATACCAGTTACTCAGGAGGCTGAGATAGAATTGCTTGAACCCGGGAGGCGGAGGTTGCAGTGAGCCAAGATCACGCCACTGCACTCCAGCCTGGGTGGCAGAGTGAGACTCCATCTCAAAAAAAAAAAAAAAAAAAATATATATATATATATATATATATATATATATATATATAAAATGGTATTTTTTTTTCTTATACAGACAAGGTCTTACTATGTTGCACAGGCTGGTGTTGAACTTCTGACCTCAAACTTCTGACCTCCCACCTCAGCCTCCCAAACTGCTGGGATTATAGGCATGAGCCACTGTGCCCAGCTCAAATTTTCAAATATAGAGTACAACTGTTTATATAGAATTTACATTCTATTAGGTATTCTAAGTAATCTAGAGATGATTTAAAGTATATGGGAGAAAGCCGGGCATGGTGGCTCAAACTTGTAATCCCAGCATTTTCAGGAAGCCAAGGCAGGCAGATCACTTGAGGCCAGGAGTTTGAGACCAGCCTGGCCAACATGGTGAAACCCCGTCTCTACTAAAAATACAATAATTAGCTGGGTGTGGTGGCACACGCCTGTAATCCCAGCTACTCAGGAGGCTGAGGCAGGAGAATTGCTTGAACCCAGGAAGTGGAGGTTACACTGAGCCAAGATCGCGCCACTGCACTCCAGCCTGGTGAGGGAGCAAGACTCTGTCTCAAAAAAAAAAAAAAAAACTAGCGGGTTTTGGTGGCATACGCCTCTAAGTCCTAGCTACTCAGGAGACTGAGGCAGGAGAGCAGCTTAAGCCCAGGAATTTGAGGCTACAGTGAGCTATGATCAAGCCACTGTACTCAAGCCTGGGCAACAGAGCAAGGCGCGGTGGCTCACGCCTGTAATCCCAGCACTTTGAGAGGCCAGGGCGGGTGGATCACGAGGTCAGGAGATCCAGGCCATCCTGGCTAACACGGTTAAACCCTGTCTCTACTAAAAATACAAAAAATTAGCTGGGCGTGGTGGCACGTGCCTGTAGTCCCAGCTACTTGGGAGGCTGAGGCAGGAGAATGGCGTGAACCTGGGAGGCGGACCTTGCAGTGAGCCGAGATCGCGCCACTGCACTCCAGCATGGGGGACAGAGTGAGGCTCCATCTCAAAAAAATAAATAAATAAATAAATAAATAAATAAAAATTTTAAAGAGATGATTTAAAGTATACGGAAGATACATGTAAGTTATATGCAAATACTATACCATTTTATATAAGAGACTGGAGCTTCTGAAAATTGTGGTATCCACTAGGGGTTCTGGAACCAATCCCCCACATATCAAGGGGTGACTGTAATTACTTAACAAAAATTTTTTAAAAAATCATGAAAGTATGTATTTGTCACCAGCTCATGGGAATCACTATTCTTGAATTAGGTAGCACTAAATACCTTTAAATACCTGATGGAAGCCTTAAACTCAGCAGCAAGTTCCTGAAAACATGCCAACATATATTAATTATTCTGGGTCTAAAAGTTTGACAAATTACTTTAAAATACAGATGAAAACAAAATAAAATGTTTTAAACTGCAACAAGAAAAATGTACAAGTTGACCAGAAGTTTGAAACACTTGACTACATTGGTGCACTGTTAATCAAAATTTATCTGCAAAACAGATTTGCAAAAGAAATTATAAACAGGGTAGTAAATTTCAAAGTAATTTATAACAGACTAAGGTCAAGCTACATTAGCAAAGTTGGAAGGTAGCACTTAAGAAAAAACTCTGGGCCAGGCACGGTGGCTCACACCTGTAATCCCAGCACTTTGGGAAGGCCAAGGCAGGCAGATCACCTGAGGTCGGGAGTTCAAGACCAGCCTGGCCAACATGGTGAAACCTAATTTCTACTAAAAATACAAAAAAATTAGCCGGGCATGGTGGTGCGTGCCTGTAGATCCAGCTACTGGGGAGGCTGAGGCACAAGAATTGCTTGAATCCGAGCAGCAGAGGTTGCAGTGAGCTGAGATCGCACCACTGCACTCCAACCTGGGTGACAGAGTGAGACTCCCTCTCAATTAAAAAAAAAAAAAAAAAAGGCCGGGCACAGTGGTTCACGCCTGTAATCCCAGCACTTTGGGAGGCTGAGGCAGGCGGATCACGAGGTCAGGAGATCGAGACCATCCTGGCTGACACGGTGAAACCCCGTCTCTACTAAAAATACAAAAAATTAGCTGGGCGTGGTGGCGGGCACCTGTAGTCCCAGCTACTTGGGAGGCTGACGCCGGAGAATGGCATGAACCCAGGAGGCGGAGCTTGCAGTGAGCTGAGATCGCACCATTGCACTCCAGCCTAGGCAACAGAGCAAGACTCTGTCTCAAAAAAAAAAAAGAGAAAAAACTCTGGAAAGTTATATGGCTCTACCATGTACTATTTGGACACCTCTGGAGGAGAGGAACTTGTTCAATTTTAACAGTATAAACTTTATTGTTTAAGTAGCTAATATTTAGGCCAGGCGTGGTGGCTTAAGCCTGTAATTCCAGCACTTCAGGAGGCTGAACGGGTGGATCACCTGAGGTCAAGATTTTGAGACCAGCCTGGCCAACATGGTGAAACCCCGCCTCTACCAAAAATACAAAAATTAGTCGGGCCTCATGGCGCACGCCTGTGGTCCCAGCTACTTGGGAGTCTGAGGCAGGAGAATCACTTGAACTCAGGAGGCAGAGGTTGCAGGGAGGCAAGGTTGCACCACTGCACTCCAGCCTGGGCAACAGACTGAGACTCTATCTCAAAAAAAAAAAAAAAAAAAAAGACTAACTATCAATTAGGAAATATTTACGTGTAGCAGTACTAACAACATTGAGATGGACTAATTTACAGAATCCCAATACTTTCGTTCTAATTTTTTTTTTCAGGGTGTTGCTCTGCATGATTGTAGCTCACTGTAGCCTCGAACTCCTGGGCTCAAGGGATCCTCCCACCTCATCCTCCCAAGTAGCTGGGACCACAGGTATATGCCACCATGCCCAGCTAATTTTTTATTTAATTTTTTTTTTTGTAGAGACAGGGTCTCACTATAGTGCCCAGGCTGGTCTCAAACTCTTGGCCTCAAGTGAACCTCCCAAAGCTCTGGGATTACAAGCATGAGCCACTGTGCGCAGCTGCTTCCAAAGATTTTCTAGAGTGGCCAAAACCCCAGATAATCCATGAAAGAGCATGAAAAGTATTTTAAGGGACAATGGAAGGGGAGAAACTGCTACCTAATATTCTCAGCAACTTTTCCTGCCCTACCTGACAAGCGAATGATATTGAAGAGGAGGGTAACTAACTGAACAGACTCTTCTCTCTCCTTCTATCCAGGCACCTACTATCCTGCAAATACGCAGCTTTGAAGGACTTAACCAATGACCTTAAAATCTATACCAGGTCTACAGTTCTAGGAAGCGTATAAGCAAATGCTGCTATAGAATTTGGATTTTCTTTAATGATAAAAATGCAAATGACTCACGTTTGGTCATCCACTCCAACACAGCACATTCTAAAGAACAGGAGTTCAAATCCTCCTTCTGCCAAAAGATGTTGTGTCTTCACACACAAATAAGTAATTATGGATTATATTACTACCACAAATTTCTGTTTCTCACTGAAGGCATATGACATTTTAAAAAAGAACAAAAAATCAGAAAGGAAATGTTTCAAGTCTATTTTGAGGTAAAGCAATCAATTTACCATTTATCTTCCTCAGACTTACATATGAAAGCCCCACACACATGCGCACACACAAGATCCCCAAAATGTTGACAACTGTTGAAGCTGCACAACGGATACCAGAGTTCATTATACTATTCTATTTTTGCATATATTTGAACATTTCCATAATATGCAGTTTTTTAAAATATGCATGTGTGTGTCTATAGGTGTTTATACATAAACTCCCAATAAACTGACATAGAAATATCCAATTGTTCAAAGCTTTCATTCTTCAAAAGTAAGTGAATTTCTTTTTTTTTTTTTTTTTTTTGAAACAGTCTCTCACTCTGCCACCCAGGCTGGAGTGCATTGGCACGATCTCGGCTCACAGCAACCTCCACCTCCTGGGTACAAGCAAGCGCATCCAGCTAATTTTTTTGTATTTTTAGTAGAGATGGGGTTTCACCATGTTGACTAGGCCAGTCTCAAACTCCTAACCTCAAGTGATGTGCCCGCCTCGGCTTCCTGAGGTGCTGGGATTACAGGCGTGAGTCACCACGCCCGGCCAGAATTCCATCTAGCTACTTTCTTATTCTAGAAGTTGTACTGCAGGTGACCAGACCATTAGAGAAGGTCTAGTGAAAGAAATAATTAACTGCCCCAGAATAAAACAAGCCTAACCTTGAAAAGAGGCAAAGGGAAAGGTGCTAAACAGTTATTACAATTAACTGCATGTTTATATTTGGTCCTGTTATCCTCTAACACAGGTGGGTAGGTAGAAAAGGGGGAAGTATTTTAGGGCCAGATTTCCTTTTGATTCTTTAAGTTGATGGGCAAGAGAGGCTGGAATAAAGAAATCTAAAAAGTCTCCATTATAAATGATAACCAAGCCAGGCACAATGGCGCATGCCAGTAGTTCCAGCTACTTAGGAGACAAGAGGGGAGAATCGCCTGAACCCAGGAATTCAAAACTAGCCTAGGCAACAGAGTGAGACCTCATCTCTAAATAAATAAGTTAATGAATTAATTAAAGGTAGAATTGTATAATATATGAATTATACCTCAATTTAAAAACAATTTAAGCCCTATACAGTGATGCATGCCTATAGCCACAACTACTCATAAGACTGAAGCAGGAGGATAGCTTGAACTTAGGAGTTTGAGAACAGCCTGGGCAACATAGAGAGGCCTCATCCCCCTCCCACCCCCACCCGAAAAAAAGCATTCATAGCTCATCTTAGTATAATCAGCAACTTCCAATGACTAACTATGCTTTCCTGCTAGACATGAATTTATAAAACACATAAAAATTATACTGTATCTGCTTCAATTCCTTTTTTCATATTGCCATTCAATTTTCACAAGATTACTTTAAATGCAATCCTAAATTCATCACCAATTTAACTTTTGTTAGTTATGTCTAAAAATAAAACTAGTCAAAATTAAAAATACTAACTTTGCAGCAAATTAATCTTGCATCAGCACTACAAACAAATTTTTAAACTTATTGTAGCAAAACATAACTTCGACAGAATCAAAGACATTAATTCTCAAGTCCAAAAAAAGGTCACAAGAAATTATTTAAAGTGGTAAAGGGAAACGCAGACTTAGGCATACAAGCCAAGAAAAAAAAAATTAGAGATAACTCCTCCGCTAGAACCTCCCCCCAATACTTCCATAGCAACAATTATTTCCTTAGCACAAAAGTGATGTGTTCACTTTCACAAAACCTGGATCATCTAAGTTTGCACAATTCCCTTCAATCTAAAAAACAGATGAAATTGTTTCATTTAGGTGAGTAGAATTTTGTGTCCCTATACACGAAAAAAGTCACCATCAGTGTGAGTAAACCACATGGCTCCAGCTTTAAGATCTTGTTCCCCAACCCACTGAAAAGAGTATATGCTTATAAAATATTCATGGACTTACCAGGTTAAAGACAGTTTCTACAATATCCCTATTGGATACTTCTCCAACTTCAACCAAACCGGTCAACACGGCAAATTTCATTCTGATGCCCCTGATGGGGAGCCCTGGTTTCAGAGACAATGCACCCCCTTCAGTAGGGGTTTCTTCTCTCCCTCCACCTCCCCCGTCATCACCTGTTGGTGGCGGGGAAGGGACACGATTGTCTTCGCTAGCCATTGCTAGCTCACGATAAAGGACAACTCAGAGTCACCCTGGGACGGCAGTCGCTGCACTGGTAATGAGCACAACACACGCAATGCAAAACGAAAGGGTCCCTCTTCCAACTTGTGGAGATACCCCAAAGCAGTTGATGTGGAAAGTCCTTGGCGTCGCCCTCCTCCTCTTGGAGAATATTTGTCCAATCTCTCTCCCCGAGGCTGACAACAACGCCAAACCCTATTGGAAGATTAAATATATGTTAAATAGGCTAGGTTTTGTTTTAGGGTTTTGAGGGGACAAGAGGGAAATAGTTATTGTCGGTCAAGTAAGTTACTAAAGGCACCCCACTACTAGCCACCCGCTTCTCCCGGGCTCAAAAAGCTGGGTTCTGGGTGAAGGCAGGTCCAAGAGGCCCCCGAACAGGCTCACTCCTCCCCCACTCTCGTGCAGGTTCTAGGCGCAGGGTAACCTCTCCTCACAGGTGCACTAGAAAGAGAAACTGTCGCGGGGAAAGGAGGGATCGGAGGAAAGAAGGGGGGCCCACAAGCTATCACAGAGGTAGAAAGTTCTTCCTCACCCAGATACTCCGGACTCGTCCTCACCCCCCGCCCAGGAGCAGCGAGACCGAGGTGGCGGCGGAGATCCAGGGCAGGAAAAGGCGGGGGAAGGGGGCGGTGATTATTCTAAATGCTCGGCCCAGTGGGAGGAGTGAAGCACCTCTCTCAGGCACCTGAGATTCGACGGGAAGGGGTGGGGAGGTGTGTGTGGTGGCAGGAAGGGAGGGGAGCGGCCAGAGAAACCCAGCGGCCACCGCAGGGAGAGAAGGGAGGACAGAGAGGTCAGTGCACCTGGTCGCAGCCTCCAAGTTTCCCTAGTCCGCTCCCCGGGAGTCCGCGGCTGCACAGAACTCCATGGCTTCCTGGCCCGCCCCGCCCCTGCGCTCAGCCTTTGCAAAAGCAGCCGCTGCTGGCGCTACGGGCGCCGCGGCTGAGGCTGCTGCGAGTGGTGAGGATGCTACTGCCACAGCTCGCCCCGCCACGGGTCGCGCGGCTGTCGTGTGCCCACTGAAGCTGCTCCCGGCCGCCATGACAGCGCCGAGTGCTGCCGGGCGCGGCGTGCGCGTGCGCGAGCGCGAGTGCGCGGGGCGGGAGGGCGCGAAGGCGGAGGCAGCCGCGCGGCGGGGGCGCGGTGACGACGCGCGGACAGCCAAGGGGGCCCCGAGCCAGCCGGAGTGCTGGGCTGGGGCTTCCGGCTGCACTAGGCGCGCTGCTCTGGTAGCACCAGGTGTGTACCCGGCCCGGCGAGGAGAGACCCTTCCGTCCGAGGGCCTACACTTTCCCCTCTCCCACTCTCGGACCTCGGGAGGTGCTTCTGCCAAGTCCTGAGGCGGGGATTTTGGCGCTCCTGCTGTTGTTAAGTTACCGTAGGGTCTCTTGGCGCGGAGGGAACACGCGCTGCGTTGCCTAGGTGTCTCATTGGACTTGGAGAAGAACACCTGAGGCACCTCTACGAGCCAGAGAGGTGACGGCGCTGGAGCCAGTGAGGCTGCTGTCCCTGCCCAATGGGAGCGAGGAGTCCCCACCCCTGGCTGCTTTCAGCTGTTGCCCGCCCGCCGCTCTCGGCGGAGACTTGGAGATTTCCACTGGGATACCTCGGCAGCTGCCGCCATTCGGGAGGGGAGGGGAGGGGACCGAGTCGACGAGGAATGGGAAAGATTCCTTGCTTTGCAGCTGCCGCGCCACGAAACCTCTCCCACATTCATTCTAGGCAGAGGATTCCTGAGACAGCTGCTATAAACAGCGTGGAGACAGGGTTCCTTGTGCCTGTAGACCTCCGAAGGGTTTTTTCCTCTCGTGATTTTCCAATGTGAAGATTAGGCTCGCGTCATTCTCAGAGTAGATCAAAAGATAAATTATATTAGGTAGTACAGATAGGTCCTCATACTCAGTGTCCCTTCTTTCCACCCGCTATTAACAGTAAACCATTCTTCCTAGTGAGTGAAAAATAAATTTAGAGGAAGGTGGTTTTTCACCCACGTGTATCCTTTGAGGTCAAAGGGCCTTTTTAAAAATACGCCTAGCTCCTAAAATGAAAGTGAAGCAAAAAGTGGGATTAAACAAAGGAAGAATTCTAGAGAACTTAGGAAAAAATTATAGTGGTTTGAGAAATAGTTTCCTGAAGAAAAAGTTATTTGAGATGGCCTTGAGAAGTGGACAGAAGCCGGGCGCGGTGGCTCACGCCTGTAATCCCAGCACTTTGGGAGGCCCAAGCAGATGGATTGCCTGAGGTCAGGAGTTCAAGACCAGCCTGACCAATATGGTGAAACCCCCGTCTCTACTAAAAATACAAAAATTAGCCAGGCATGGTGGTAGGCGCCTGTAATCCCAGCTACTCGGGAGGCTGAGGCAGGAGAATTGCCACTGCACTCCAGCCTGGGTGACAGAGGAAGAGCGAGATTCTGTCTCAAAAAAAAAAAAAAAAAAAGACAATTTTAACTCTCACATGGAAATTTGGGAAGAAAAAGGTAACAGACGCAAAAAGCAAGGGAGGGCTGGGTGTAGTAGCTCACACCTGTCATCCCAACACTTTAGGAGGCTAGTGCAGGAGGATCACTTGAGACTAGCCTAGGCAACAGCAAGACCCGTGCTCTTTTTTTTTTTTTTTTTTTAAACGGAGTTTCGCTCTTGTTGCCCAGGCTGGAGTGCAATGGCGCAATCTCGGCTCACCTTAACCTCTGCCTCCCGGGCTCCAGCGATTCTCCTGCCTCAGCCTCCCAAGTAGCTGGGATTACAGGCATGCGCTAATTTTTTTTATTTTTATTACAAGCCCGCCTAATTTTTGTATTTTTGGTAGAGGTGGGGTTTCACCATGTTGGCCAGGCTGGTCTCAAACTCCTGACCTTAGGTGATCTGCCCGTCTCAGCCTCCCGAAGTGCTGAGATTACAGGTGTGAGCCACCGTACCCGACCAAGGTCTCTATTTTTTTAAAAAAGAAGCAGAAGAACAAGCAAGGGGATATTTTCTTTAGAAAAGTGTTACACGTTTTAAAAATACTAAAATGAATTCAACTGCACCAAATCTCATGTGGTTGCAAATGTTTGTTAAAGATTTGTTTTCTGTAAGTAGACTTAGATATTCCAGAGATGAAGCAGACATCTTTCTGATGATCCGAATTGCCAACACATTTCCAAAGTAAAAGGCGACATCAGTGGCTTCCCATTTCTGAAATCTCTGAAAAACTAAACACCTCAAGTTTGTTTCACATCATTAATGAATAACTCTGGAATAAGGGGGAGTAGGGTGTGCCTGCAGAAGAGACACAACTTTCACTTGACCTTTCACACATCCGTATTTCTAAAGTGAGGCATTAATCCTAAAAGGCCTCTCATCGGAGTTTGTCTCCTCAGATGGGGCAAATGGTGTGTTAATATATCTGTCATATAAGTGCTAATTAAGTATTTGTTAAATGAATAAATGTCTTCCATTAAGAAGCAGATGATAATAATGAAAATGCCCCCAACACAGAGTGATCACAGTCTAAATGATCTAGGGCTAAGGTTTGTAGCTCATAAATTTGCAAGCTCACTGTTAATGCTGTTCTACTGATGAAACAATGAACACAGACAATTAACCAAATATTTCTAAATGCCGGGTACAGTGGCTCCTGCCTGTAATCACAGCACTTTGGGAGGCTGAGGCAGGCAGATCACCTGAGGTCAGGAGTTTGAGACCAGCCTGGCCAACATGGTGAAACCCCATCTCTACTAAAAATACAAAAAAATAGCCAGGCGTTGTGGTGGGTGCCTGTAATCCCAGCTACTTGGAGGCTGAGGCAGAAGAATCGCTTGAACCCGGGAGGCAGAGGTTGCAATGAGCCACGACCACACCTTTGCCCTCCAGCCCGGGCAGTAAGAGCAGAAACTCCATCTAAAAAAAAATACATATATATATATATATATATATATATATATGCACAAATTGTCAACTATTTATAAAAATTTTTCAACCTCTTTGCCCATGGTTAAAACAAAATAGTTGGCAAAAATTGGAGGTTCACTGCAGAAAGAAGCATAAGGAAGGTAGAAGGCGAAACTCTTCACTTCTAGGCAAGCCAGTTAAAATGCAATCACTAGGCCCGGGTGCGGTGGCTCATGCCTGTAATCCCAGCACTTTGGGAAGCAGAGGCGGGTGGATGACCTGAGATTGGGCGTTCAAGACCAGCTTGACCAATCTCTACTAAAAATTACGTGGCGCATGCCTGTAATCCCAGCTACTCAGGAGGCTGAGGCAGGAAAATCGCTTGAACCCAGGAGGCAGAGGTTGCAGTGAGCCGAGATTGGCCACTCCAGCCTGGGCAACAAGAGCACAACTCCATCTCAAAAAATAAATAAAATGCAATCATTGTGGATTATTATTTAGGTGTACGACATAGAATCTTGGAATGATTCCAGATGAACTATCTGCCTCAAATCTTAAGCTCCTTTATAGCACAATACTTTACACATTACAGGTATTCATATTATTTGGATTGAGTCGAAACTCTAAAGTTACTTGCTTTAATTTTTCTCACCTGAAAGCCCTTGTCTGCGCCTACACAGCTATTAGCAGTGACAGGGAGGAAAATCCTGGTATGAATGGGTATCTTGGCTGGGCACAGTGGCTCATGCCTGTAATCCAAGCACTTTGGGAGGCCAAGAGGGGAGGATTGCTTGAGACCAGCCTGGCCATCATGGCAAGACCTCCTGTCTACAAAAAGTTTTAAAAATTAGCCAGGCATGGTGGAACACATCTGTAGTCCCAGCTACTGGGGAGGCTGATGTGGGAGGATCACTTGAGCCGAGGAGTTCGAGGCTGCAGTGAGCTGTCATGTTGCCACTGCACTGCAGCGTGGGTGACCAATCAAGACCCCATATCAAAAACAAGTAGGGGGAAGCCAGACGTGGTGGTGGCTCATGCCTGTAATCCCAGCATTCTGGGAGACCAAGGTGGGCAGATTGCTTGAGCTCAGGAGTTTGAGACCAGCTTGGGCAACATGGTGAAAACCCGTCTCTACAAAAAATACAAAAATTAGCCAGGTATGGTCCCTGTGCATGCCTGTGGTCCCAGCTATTTGGAGGTCTGAGGCGGAAGGATCGCTTGAGTCCGGGAGGTGGAGGCTGCGGTGCATCAAGATCACATGACTGCACTCCAGCCTGGCTAACAGAGCAAGACCTTGTCTCAAAGAAAAGGAGTGGGTGGCAAGGTATCTTAATATGGAAAGCAGTTTTACCATATGTTTATATCTTCAGCACTATTAATGGAAGTTTTCTAGTCAAAAGCCTTCATATGAACTATCAGCAGATGAGTTTATAGGACTATCTTACCTGTATCCCTGTATCATAACCCCCACCCCTGCAAAAAAAGGAAGGAAGAAAAAAAAATTACCTCCTATAAAGCCAGGCTCAAGTTTCCCATCACCATCTAATTTGTATATCACTAACATTAATATCTTGACACAATTAAGGACTGAAAGTTTCCATAATGTTCCTTGTTTTCAACATACACTGAAATATTCTCAGAAAAAAAGAAATACATAGTGGATTCAGAACAGGGAGCCTTCTGCATAACTCAGAGTAACTCAAGCAAAGAGAAAGTAATTTCATACTGAAATCAAGAAGATTATTGATCTGTAAACCCTTACCTATATGCAAAGAAAAAACGTTTTGAGAACAAAGATGGGATGGAATTTTCTTTCTACTGGAAAATCACCCAATCCACCCAATTGTGACTTTGGCATTTTCCTAGGGTATAGATTAAATTATAACTTAGGGGAAAAGTACCACCTACATGATTTGCTGTACACCTGTTTGTGTATCCCTGGACTTGGAATTTCTTCAAATTATTAAGCATAGCTTATGATATCTTAGGCTGGAAATGCATGGCAATGGTTTTTTAGCCCTTCCTATGAGAAAGTCAAACGTTGCTTTTACTATTCATTAAATCTTACTAATGTTAAATAAACCTCAAATGTTAGTAGCCCTTATTAATGACATTTTCATGGGGCATTTGACACTGGGAACAATTATAATTTAAAGGAAAAAGACATTACCTATTTATAGTTAGAAACTCAAAAGTTTAACATCAAAAGTTTATGTGGCTGGGCACGGTGGCTCATTCCTGTAATCCCAGCACTTTGGGAGGCCAAGGCAGGCAGATCACTTGAGGTCAGGAGTTCAAGACCAGCCTGGCCAACATGGTGAAACCCCATCTCTTCTAAAAATACCAAAAAAAAAAAAAAAAAAAAAAAAAAAAGCTGGGCATGGTGGTGCACTCCTGTAGTCCCAGCTACTCGGGAGGCTGAGGCAGGAGGATCGTTTGAACCTGGGAGGCAGAGGTTGCACTGAGCCACGATGGTGCCACTGCACTCCATCCTGGGTGACAGAGTGAGATTCTGTCTCAAAAAAAAAAAAAAAGTTTATGTGATTATTTAAGTTCAAAATGATCCACATCAACTTACTATATCTTGGACTTTTTTGTGTGTGACGGAGTCTCACTCTGTTGCCCAGGCTGGAGTGCAGTGGCGGGCGCCATCTCGGCTCACTGCAACCTCCGCCTCCCGGGTTCAAGCAATTCTCCTGCCTCAGCCTCCTGAGTAGCTGGGATTACAGGCATCTGCCACCATACCCAGCTAAATTTTGTATTTTTAATAGAGACGGGGTTTCACCATGTTGGCCAGGCTGGTCTCGAACTCCTGACCTCAAGTGATCCACCCACCTCGGCCTCCCAAAGTGCTGGGATTACAGGAGTGAGCCACCACGCCCAGCAAGACATTTTAAAAAACATTTTTTCCCTTGTGTATGTCACACAAAGGGTAGAGACTTTGAAAAGGGCAACTTCACTTTCAGCAAATGTGCTAGCCAAAACATACCTTTTAAGACATAAAATATGAATGCAGTACTTAGTGTAGTTGATAAGGTGGTAGACAGTTTGGTTGATTTGTCTTTTCTATTTTTCCCTTCTCTATTTGGTTATTAAGTAATATGTAAATAGGTAGACCATTTGCAGTGTTCTCTTATGATAGTAAGATAGTGCCATTAGAGTGCAATGAAATGTTGCACCACCACACCACCCTACCTTTGCAATTTATATAAGTGCATGTCACTAGAATGACTGTTGGCATTTATCAGCTAAGTTCTGAATGGCTTGTGCAGTTGAGGTCTCTGAGAGGTCACTCCATCCCCTTAAAGTGGTAGGTTTCCATTTCCATCATCAGGATAGAGGTAGGAGTTCACACAAGAAATGAGACACCAGGATGTTGACTTCAAGCAGACAGGAAAGGAGATTACTTTTCCTAGCCCTCATTCTCTGGGGTTTGAATGCTAAATTGCTTACCAGTACTCTAAGTAAAAAGAGAAAGATAACTTCTGCCATGTGGTAGCATGCTTGGAACATTCCCTCTTGGAATCCAATCTATTTGGAGAAGCCACATGGAGAACAACTGAGACCCATCAGTTAACAACCCCAGCTGAATTCCCAGCCAACAACCAGCACCAACTACCTGCCATTACATGAGTAAGCCATCTTGAATATTCCAGCCTTCAGATAACAACAGCGCTAGCTGTTGGGGGTGCAGAATTGAACATGGGTCTAGTTAACCTACACAGAGTCTTGGGTTGTTTCTATATAGAAGAGACATAAAGCCAAAACATCAGGTGAAAGAGATTATCTAGTTTTATTCCTGACCATATTACTTTTTTGGGGGGTTCGGAGGGGGACCATATTCCTTTTATTTGTTCAGAGTAAAAACTTTAAAAATGTTCCAGCCTGGTCACAGTATGCTGAAATCCAGAGTACCCATAATTGGGCCTGCATGTTAAAGAGGGTGAGGTGATACCCCCATATTTAGCCAGAGATTTTCAAGGGACAGGGGAATTTTGTGGGATCACATTTGGGGTTATAAGGTCCACAAGGAATTTTCCAAGGAGGTTTTTCCCTTTGTTGCTGAGAAGACCTGGGTTTAATTTTATTAAAGGAAATATCCATTTCCTTACAGAAACTCCATATGATTTTCTTTGCTAAGAAATATGTACAAGCTCAACTCCACTAATAAAGGAATGTAAATTAAGATAGTTTGAGATAACATTGTTGCCTTTCTCATTGCAAATATTTATAGTATCCAGTGTTGCCAAAGGGGAAATGTACACTCTTATTTACTGCAAATGTACAACATCACTGAGAGGCATTAATACACTGCACTTCCACTCTTAAGGATATATCCCAGGCGTAACCAGGTAGCTCAAAGGTACAGTTAAAATCATTTTCATTTTAGAATTATTTATAATTTCAAAAACTTAGAAACGATCTAAATGTCTAATACACACAAAGAGAAGTTGTACATTCTGGTTCTTCCATACAGTGGGCATTGGAGGTAGTTAATGGACATGGAAAAGTTTCATGACATATTCAATCAAGGGACTCAGCCCGGCCAACATGGTGAAACCCCATCTCTACTAAAAATACAAAAATTAGCCATGTGTAGTGGCACAAGCCTGTAATCCCAGCTACTCGGGAGGCTGAGGCAGGAGAACCACTTGAACCGGGGAGGCGGATGTTGCAGTGAGCCAAGATTGTGCCACTGCACTCCAGCCTGGGCGACACAGCAAGACTGTCTCTAAATAAATAAAGGGACTCTTCTTCAAGTCATGTGCCATTGATAATGTGGTACAAAATAGGACCAAAAAATATTTAAAGCAAAAAGAAATTCACTCATTAACTTAAGTCATTCCAAAAACATTTGTTTAGCATTCTAATGTACCAGGCATTGCATTAGACATTTAGGTTAAGAAGTAAAAAATTCAGTCCCTGCCTTAAGGACTCAATTCAGTACGTTAAGCCTATGAAAACCTAAAAGAGAGACTTCCAAGAGAAGGTGATACCAGACTTGAATTTTAAAGAATAACTAGGAATAAGCCAGATGAAAAATTTGGGGAAGGTTATTCCAGGATATGAAGTCTCCAGAATGGTTGGACATTTTAACCTTAGAAGACAACTGAATTCAACTATGTCTCTTAAATAATTAGGTTGTTCTTCTAGATAGAACTATAGAGCATTAAAAGGGTTGCTTTGTTTATATGTGTTGAAAAATGCATGCTATCACCCCCACTTAGGTTACACTCTTTATTTTTTTTATTTTATTTATTTACTTTTGAGACAGTCTCCCTTGGTTGCCCAGGCTGGAGTTCAGTGGCGCAATCTCAGCTCATTGCAACCTCCACCTCCTGGGTTAAAGCAAATCTCATGCCTCAGCCTCCTGAGTAGCTGGGATTACAGGTGGGCGCCACCATGCCCAGCTAATTTTTTTTGTATTTTTAGCAGAGATGGGGTTTCATTACATTGGCCAGGCTGGTCTCGAACTCCTGACCTCAAGTGATCTGCCTGCCTCTGCCTCCCAAAGTGCTGGAATTACAGGGATGAGCCACTGGGCCCAGCCACACTCTCTTTGTAGATACTCTTCCCTCCCCCCGCCCTCCCATTAGAGGCGAGAGTCTTGCTGTGCTGCTCAGGGTGGTCTCAAACTCCTGATCTCAAGCGATCCTCCCACTGCGGCTTCCCAAAGTGCTTGGAACTGTGTAAGTCGCCACACCAGCCTATAGGCACTTTTTATGTATAAAGAACCTGAGTTTGGGTAACTGTGATCCCATGACATTAAATAGTATCGTGATTACTTAAAAGCTCAGCATAATGTTTTTTACCCTTGTGCAAAGGAGAAATGGAACTGACCCTGTGCTCACACGATAGGCTGCCGAAAACAGATCATCCTGAATACTTGGTTTTTTTAATGAATGAAAGTTATGTGGCTGGGCACGCTGGCTCACACCTGTAATCCCAATACTTTGGGATGCTGAGGCCAGCAGATCACGAGGTCAGGTGTTCGAGACCAGCCTGGCCAACATGGCGAAACCCCATTTCTACTAAAAATACAAAAAAATAGCAGGGTGTGGTGGCGGGCTACTGTAATCCCAGCTACTCGGGAGGATGAGACAGGAGAATGGCTTGAACCCAGGAGGCGGAGGTTGCAGTGAGCCAAGATCGCACCTCTGCACTCCAGCCTGGGCGACAGAGCGAGACTGTCTCAAAAAAAAGAAAAACAAACAACAACAACAAAAATTATGTTAGCATAATTAAGTGCCCATGCCAAAATTATAATTGTTACATGAAAATGGTGAGTGATCACTCCCCAGCTGGGCCTGGGACGCCACAGCTGAGAGACAGACACTCATGGCAAATGGGACCGCTCTTCTCATTCTGCCTTCCTTCAGGCCCCCTGGTCTCTCCTCCCCGCCCGTGGGAGGTGGTGCGTGGGAGGCAGGGGTACAGAATCTAGCCCAACATCTCTGCCCCCGCCCTCTGCCTCATGGTGTCGGTGGATGTGGGGGGCCTTCTGATCTAGTTTATTTATTTATTTTTTAAAATTTTGGGGGCCAGGCGCGGTGGCTCACACCTGTAATCCCAGCACTTTGGGAGGCTGAGACGGGCGGATCACCTGATGTCAGGAGTTTGAGACCAGCCTGATCAATATGGAGAAGGCCTATCTCTACTAAAAATACAAAACTAGCCAGGTGTGGTGGCACATGCCTGTAATCCCAGGACGGAGGCTGAGGCAGGAGAATCGCTTGAACGCAGGAGGCAGAGGTTGAGGTGAGCCGAGATCGCGCCATTGCACTCCAGCCTGGGCAACAAGAGCAAAACTCCGTCTAAAAAAAAAAAAAAAAAAAATTGGGCCAGACGCGGTGGCTCACACTTGTAATCCCAGCACTTTGGGAGGACAAGGTGGGTGAGTCACCTGAGGTCAGGAGTTCAAGACCAGCCTGGCCAACGGGGTGAAACCCCAGCTCTACTAAAAATACAAAAATTAGTAGGGCGTGGTGGCAGGTGCCTGTAATCCCAGCTACTAGGGAGTCTGAGGCAGGAGAATTGCTTGAACCTAGTAGGCAGAGGTTGCAGTGAGCGAAGATCTCACCACTGCACTCCAGCCTGGGTGACAGAGTGAGACTCCAGCTAAAAAACAAAAATTAATTTTGTTTTCAAAAAACAGAAAAGGAAAAAAAATGGTGAGTCTGGGAACGGCAAGTAGGTTGTTAATGGGACTTGACTAGAGATGAAGCTAGAGGCCAGACGAGGTGGCTCATGCCTGTAATCTAAGCACTTTGAGAGGCTGAGGTGGGCAGATGGCTTGAAGCCAGGACAGCCTGGGCAACATGGCAAAACCCTGTCTTAAAAAAAAAAAAAAGCCCAGCACGGGGTCACGTGTCTGTAGTCCCAGCTACTGGGTACTGGAGAGGCTGAGGTGGGAGGATGGCTTAAGCCTGGGAAGTCTAGGCTGCAGTGAGCCATGAAGGTGCCACTGCACTCCAGCCTCTGTGACACAATGAGACCCTGTCTAAAAAAAAAAAAAAAAAAAGAGAAGAGACTAGAGAGGTGGGATGGACCACTGTAAACCTGGCTTTGGACTTTCAGACTGGACTCTACCCTGAAGGCAACCTGCTGCCTTTAGAGGATTTCAATCAATAACGTAACAGGATTTCACTAGCCTCTTAAGAAAATCCCAGACAGTCGGGGTGGTTCATGCCTGTAATCCCAGCACTTTGGGGGGCCAAGGCGGGCAGATCATCTGAGGTCAGGAGTTCAAGACCGGCCTGACCAACATGGAGAAACCCTGTCTCTACTAAAAATACAAAAAATCAGCCGGGTATGGTGGCGCATGCCTTTAATCCCAGCTACTCAGGAGGCTGAGGCAGGAGAATCGCTTGAACCCGGGAGGTGGAGGTTGTGGTGAGCCCAGATCGCGCCATTGCACTCCAGCCTGGGCAACAAGAGCGAAACTCCATCTCAAAAAAAGAAAATTACTAGCAGCTACCCAACCCTCACTATATATTTGGGTAGAATCATCCATTATATAGAACTGATGGAGTGCAGTGTTTACATTATTCTATAATTTGGATTTTAAAGATGAAAAATTGTGTGGGATGAGATGATTAACATATTTTCATTCCAGAAAGGGGCTTAGTTTTAGGCCTTTTCCTAAGAATGTTGAGAAACCAAAGATTAAGAAAAATGTCATCTCCCCATAGATATCACACTATCTTTAGTGAGGAGCTGTGTATAAGTATTACTTAACTGTTAAGCAAATAAATGTATTTGGAAGATTCATGTTGCTGTGTGTGGCACACAGTCCTAGGAAACTGGTGTGACACAGTCCTAGAAAAGCATATGGTCACCTTTGTCATACATGCAGCCAGGCTCAAATATAGAAAATGACAATTTGAAGCTGTAATTCCCCAATTCAGTGGGTCTTAGTCTTCAGTCATTAGATTCACCTGGAACCTTAAGCCTCACTTGATACAGTTTATAAATGCTAATACCCGATAGGTGCAGCACCAACATAATGCGCATGGAAGTCTTGGAATCATTTACCAAGAAGATCCTGAGCACAGAAGTTGGTGAGATGGCAAAGCAGTATATAGAGAAAAGTCTTTTGGTTCCAGACCATGTGATCACATACCTAATGATGTCTGAGTTGGAGAATAGGTGTGGCCAGCACTGGCTCCTCGATGGTTTTCCTAGGACATTAGGACAAGCCGAAGCCCTGGACAAAATCTGTGAAGTGGATCTAGTGATCAGTTTGAACATTCCATTTGAAACACTTAAAAGATCGTCTCAGCCGCCGTTGGATTCACCCTCCTAGCGGAAGGGTATATAACCTGGACTTCAATCCACCTCATGTTCATGGTATTGATGTACTGGTGAACCATTAGTCCAGCAGGAGGATGATAAACCTGAAGCAGTTGCTGCCAGGCTAAGACAGTACAAAGACATGGCAAAGCCAGTCATTGAATTATACAAAAGCCAAGGAGTGCTCCACCAATTTTCTGGGATGGAGACGAACAAAATCTGACCCTACATTTACACACTTTTCTCGAACAAGATCACACCTATTCAGTCCAAAGAAGCATATCGACCCTGCCCAGTGGGAGAACCAGGAAGAGGTGGTCATTCATTCAATTGTGTGTGTAGTATTGGTGATGTGTCCAAATTAGAAGCTAGCTGAGGTAGCTTGCAGCATCTTTTCTAGCTGAAATGGCGAACTGATAGGAAAACAAATGAGTAGAAAGAGTTCACAAAGAGGCCCTCCTCTGCCTTTCAAAAGGAAGGTCACCTACACATTTAAGGTGTCTCTGCACATGTCTCAAGCCCTTCACAAGAAAGCAAGTACAGCCGGGCACGGTGGCTCACGCCTGTAATCCCAGCACTTTGGGAGGCTGAAGCAGGAGGATCACGACGTCAGAAGACCGAGACTATCCTGGCTAACATGGTAAAACTCCGTCTCTACTAAAAATACAAAAAAATTAGCTGGGCGTGGTGGCAGCCGCCTGTAGTCCCAGCTACTCGGGAGGCTGAGGCAGGAGAATGGCGTGAACCCAGGAGGCGGAGCTTGCAGTGAGCCGAGATTGCACCACTGCACTCCAGCCTGGGCAACAGAGTGAGACTCGTCTCTCAAAAAAAAAAAAAAAAAAAGAAAGCAAGTACAGTGTGGCAGTGTGGGAATCCTCAAAAAGCATGGGAAGTATAAGTATTTAGCTACATAAATGTTGTAAGATCATATCTTATGTATAGAAGTAATAAGACCGTTTGGAATTACTGGACAAATTGAATAGTTAAGGTTTCTATTCAGGACAATAAAATGTATTTTGAAAGTGCTGCTAACTATTGATGCTGACAGTGTTTCACTACTATGAGTGACCCAAACATATTATAAATAAGTGTTAAAGGGAATGGAGCCTGTGGGGTTGAGCAGAATGTTATACTAGCTGTGCCTGGGCTGAGTATAACAGCTTTATGATTATGGGATAACAAAATCTTTATTTTTTTTTTTCTGTTCCAAAGATTCATCCTATGGGGTGGCCATAAAGTATAGAATTAGATACTAATATTTTGTAATTCATTATAACATCAATAAACCATTTGTTAAAAGAAAATAAATAAATAAATAAATAAATGTTAATACCCAAGCCAATCACATCAGAATCTCAAGTGGGACCCAGACAGATATCAGAGATATCAGTGTTTTTTTTATAGCTTTCTAGGTAATTCTTTTTTTTTTTTTTTTTTTTTTTGAGATGGAGTCTTGCTCAGCTGCCCAGGCTGGAGTGCAGTAGTGTGATCTCGGCTCACTGCAACCACCGTCTCCCAGATTCAAGCGATTCTCCCATCTCAGCCTCTGAGTAGCTGGGATTACAGGCACCCACCATCATGCCTGGTTAATTCTTGTATTTTAATAGAGACAGGGTTGACCATCTCAGCCTCTGAGTAGCTGAGATTACAGGCACCCACCATCATGCCCGGCTAATTCTTGTATTTTAATAGAGACAGCGTGACCATGTTGGCCACGCTGTCTTGAACTCCTGACCTCAGGTGATCCGCCTGCCTCAGCCGCCCAAAGTGCTAAGATTACAGGCGTGAGCCACTGCACCCAGCCATAGTTTATTTCTAAATCAAATGTGGTTAGTAAGCTGGGCACAGTGGCTCACGTTTGTAATCCCAGCATTTTGGGAGGCCAATATAGATGGATCACTTGAGGTCACGAGTTCAAGACCAGCCTGGCCAACATGGTGAAACCCTGTCTCTACTACAAATCCAAAAATTAGCTGGGGCTGGGGGCAGTGGCTCACGCCTGTAATCCCAACACTTTGGCAGGCAGAGGTGGACGGATCTACCTGAGGTCAGGAATTCGAGACCAGCCTGGCCAATGTGGTAAAACCTCATCTCTACTAAAAATACAAAAATTAGCCAGGTGTGGTGGCACACACCTGTAATCCTAGCTACTCGGCAGGCTGAGGCAGGAGAATCACTTGAACCCAGGAGGCGGAGGTTGCAGTGAGCCGAGATCGGGTTGCTGCACTTCAGTCTGAGCGACAGAGTGAGATTCCGTCTCAAAAAAATAAATAAATAAAATAAAATAAAATAATCCAGGCATGGTGGCGCACCCTGGTAATCCCAGCTACTCATGAGGCTGAGACACAAGAATCACTAGAAGCCAGGAGGCGGAGGCCGCAGTGAGCTGAGATCTCGCCACTGCACTACAGCCTGGGTGACACAGCAAGACTCTGCCGCAAAAAAAAATAAAGAAAAAAGATGTGGTTAGTAAACAAGAAATTATCATTTAGGAAAATGTACTCTAATTTCCAGAATCTAAATGAGATTAATGGAAGTTCCGTGATCAGCAACTACAGAAAAAACTATATTATGTTGTACAGTAAAATTAGAAGGTCTTTATTCCTCTGCTAAATTAAACCTTTTAAAATAGGTTGTTAGAACATTTTACTTAGTGTTTAAGCTTTAAAAAATATATATTTCGCTTATGTCATTTTAACTAGTTGAGAAAAATCTAATACAGAAAGTAACACATAGCAGTACTAATCTAGTTTTAGTTCCATGAGTCATAATCGTAGAAGCTTGGAAGACAAAAAGAGAGAGAAAAAAAATCTATTGAATTGAGGCCCTGGAAAAATGAGGTAAGACTAACTTAAATGGAAACAAGTTTGGTAAGCCACCTCCAGACTATAGTACACATTTATTACATTCAGCCTTTGTGTTGTGTTCTTTACAGATGGGTGAGAATTAAGAAAAGAATATAGGCTGGGTGCGGTGGCTCACGCCTGTAATCCCAGCACTTTGGGAGGCTGAGGAAGGCAGATCACCTGAGGTCAGAAGTTCGAGACTAGCCTGACCAATATGATGAAACGCCGTCTGCACTAAAATTACAAAAATTAGCCGGGCGTGGTGACATGTGCCTGCAATCCCAGCTACTCAGGAGGCAGAGACAAGAGAATTGCTTGAATCTGGGAGGCGGAGGTTGCAGTGAGCCGAGATCGCGCCATTGCACTCCAGCCTGGGCAACAAGAGCTAAACTCCATCTCCAAAAAAAAAAAAAAGAATGTAATTTTCCTCTTTTTCTAATTCACCCTCAGCCATTATTAACCAATTAACCAAGGTGGTGGCATACAAGGTGAACAGAACAATTGAGCAAATTAATATTACTGTTCTTTTCCTTTTTGTTTTTTTTTTATGTTCCCAAACATTTGACTATTAAATATTTGGAAACCAAAGTGAATTCACTGTTTTTTTGGTACTACTAATTTAACTTGGAATTGTGATAATTCAGCAAGCTTGGTAAATATTAACCTTGCAATAGGAAGAATGAAAGAAGACCACAGCCATATCCCCTAAGGTTTCAATTCCAAATGCAGAGATGAGTGCAACTGGCTGGCTGTGTGTGAAGAACAGATGGTGATCAGGCAAGAATAAAAGCAAAGAGACCATTTAGGACAACACTTAAATAGTCTAAGCAAGGTGGAGGCTGAAAAGAAAAAGAAAAGGATTCAAGATATATTTTGCCGGGCGCTGGGGCTCACACCTGTAATCTCAGCAATTTGGGAGGCAGAGGTGGGCAGATCACTTGAATTCACGAGTTCAAGACCAGCCTGGGCAACATGGAGAAACCCCTGTCTCTACAAAAAAAAAACAAAAATTAGCCAGGTGTGATGGCGCCAGCCGGTAGTCCCAGCTACTCAGGAGGCTGAGGTGGGAGAATCACTTGAACCCAGGAGGTCGAGGCTGCAGTCAGCCAAGATGGTGCCACTGCACTCAAGGCTGGGCAACAGAGTGAGACCCTGTCTCAAAAAAAAAAAAAAAAAAAGATATATTTTGAAAACCCCATCTCTACCAAAAAAAAAAAAAAGAAGAAAGAAAAAAAGAAAGAAAGAAAAGTAAAGAGCACCAACGGGATTTGTTACTGTTTTGGACATGAGGGAGTGAGGAAGAGTGAAAAGGGAGAAACAAGGCCGGGCGCGGTGGCTCACGCCTGTAATCCCAGCACTTTGGGAGGCAGAGGGGGGCGGATCACGAGGTCAGGAGATCGAGACCACGGTGAAACCCCGTCTCTACTAAAAATACAAAAAATTAGCTGGGCGCAGTGGCGGGCGCCTGTAGTCCCGGCTACTCGGGAGGCTGAGGCAGGAGAATGGCGTGAACCCGGAAGGCGGAGCTTGCAGTGAGCCGAGATCATTCCACTGCACTCCAGCCTGGGCGACAGAGCGAGACTCGGTCTCCAAAAAAAAAAAAAAAAGGGAGAAACAAAAGATGGCTTCTAGGTTTTTGACTTGAGCAAGTGGGGAGAATACACCCGTGACTGAGGTGTTCCTGACGGGAGTTGAGCTAGAAGAGGACTAGCAGTGAAATCAATGAGTAGCTTCACTTGCTTGCCATTGGCCAGGCTCTGGGAGGTATTTTAATTTTCTTTTTCTCTGTGTTAGATGGTAGAGGAGACTCAAGACCAAGCCTGGGGCTCTTTGAAAGGTAAATAGGGGTGCTTAGAGGAGAAGGAACTAGGAGATTGAGAAAGGAGAGGCCAATGTGGTAAACAGAAAATAGGAATGTGGAGTTAGGGAAGCCAGGGGAGGAAAGTGACTCAAGAAGGAGGAAAATGATCAGGATGTGATTGTGCTTACTCATGCCCCTGGTTAGTATGATAATTGCTAATGGAAAGTTATGAGACATATCTGTACTGGTGACTGCACCTGGGAAAGAGCATGTATTTGTGCTACAGCGACATTCACATGCTGTTTTCCCCTCCACCTTTCCCCACAAAATGTTCGTTATATGTCAGGAAATTGATGACGGTACATTTATTTCCCTTAACTATATTTCTTACCTCTGCTTTAAATAACATTGAGAGATCTTACATAATTGCAAAAGTAATGCGTGTTAATTGAAGGAAGTTTGGGAAATGTAGAAAAGCTCAAAAATGAAAGAAAAAAACACACCCAAGGGGCCCGGGCGCGGTGGTTCACGCCTGTAATCCCAGCATGTTCGGGGGCAAAGGTAGGCAGATCACGAGGTCAGGAGTTTGAGACCAGCCTGGCCAACATGGTAAAAACCCATCTCTAAACAAAAGAAAAAAAAATTAGCTGGGCACAGTGGTGCGCACCCGTAGTCTCAGCTACTCAGGAGGCTGAGGCAGGAGAATCGCTTAAACCTGGGAAGCGGAGGTTGCAGTGAGCTGAGATGGCGCCACTGCACTCCAGCCTGGGCGACAGAGTGAGACTCTGTCTCAAAAAAAAAAAAAAAAAAAACCACCCATAATTGCAACACTCATTTGCTGTATGTTTGTCTTCCCACTAAATGGATGTGGATTACAGAATTGAGATTATGCCAAACATACTGTGCCCTGCTTTTTTTTCACGTAAAAATATATCATTAACATTTTCCATGTCACTTGTGGAATTTTGGGGTTTTTTTGGTTCTTTGTTTTGTTTTGTTTTGTTTTTTGAGATGGAGTCTTGCTCTGTCGCTCAGGCTGGAGTGCAGTGGTGCAATCTTGGCTCACTGCAACCTTTGCCTCCCAGGTTCAAGTGATTCTCCTGCCTCAGCCTCCTGAGTAGCTGGGACTACAAGCACCCATCACCACACCCAGCTAATTTTTGAATTTTTAGTAGAGACGAGGTTTCGCCATGTTGGCCAGGCTGGTCTCGAACCCTTGACCTCAAGTGACCCACCTGCCTTGGACTCCTAAAGTGCTAAGATTATAGGCATGAGACACTGCGTGGCCACTTGTGTTTAAATATTAATTGTATATAATATAATAACTGTATATTAATATATGACTAAACCATAATAAATCAATTTAAGCAATCTTCTGTTATTTAAATTCAAGTTTTTTCCTGATGTTTTGCTATTATAAACATCATAAAATTATGTACTAGTTACCAGCATAGCCTTTAGCACCTAACACATCTGGTGCTACTACCATGACCTACTGGCTGTGTATTTATGAGAAATTATTGAACAAATTATTGAAGTTTCAGTTTCCTCACCTATAAAACAACTATACTAAGAGTGCCAGGCATGGTGGCTCACACTTATAATTCCAGCACTTTGAGAGGTTGAGGTGGGCAGATCACTTGAGTTCAAGAGTTCAAGACCAGCTAGGGCAACATAGGGAGACCCCGTCTTTAAAATAAATACAAAAATTAGCCACTCATGGTGATGCACACCTGTAGTCCCAGCTGCTTGGGAGGGTGAGGTGGGAAGATCACTTGAGCCCAGGAGGCTGAGGCTGTAGTGAGTTGAGATGGCACCACTGCACTCCAGCCTGGATGACAGAGCAAGACCCTGTCCCCGCCCCCCTCAAAAAAGGAAAAAAAGTCTATACTAAGAATACCCATGGTGAGGATTACAGGTAAAGCACTTACCATGATACTCCAAAAGCAATTATTGCTTAATAAATGTAAGCCATTATTAGAATAATTAAGGCATGACCGTATTTTACTCTTTTTTTTTTTTTTTTTGAGACGGAGTTTCACTCTCGTCACCCAGGCTGGAGTGCAATGGCACGATCTCTGCTCACTGCAACCTCCGCCTCTCGGGTTCAAGCGATTCTCCTGCCTCAGCCTCAGCCTCCCAAGTAGCTGTGATTACAGGTGACTGCTACCATGCCCGACTAATTTTTTGTATGTTTAGTGGAGACGGGGTTTTGCCATGTTGGCCAGGCTGGTCTTGAACTCTTGAACTCAAGTAATCTGCCTGCCTAAGCCTCCCAAAGTGCTGGGATTATAGGCATGAGCCACCATGCCCGGCTGTATTTTACATTTCTTGAAAAAAATTATAAAAGTTTTTCTAGACTGGGCGCGGTGGCTTACACCTATAATCCCAGCACTTTGAAAGGCCAAGGCAGGTGGATCACTTGAGGTCAGGAGTTCGAGACCAGCCTGGCCAACATGGTGAAACCCCATCTCTACTAAAAATACAAAAATTAGCCAGCGTCGTGGCGCATGCCTGTAGTCCCAGCTACTCGAGAGGCTGAGGCAGGAGAATCGCTTGAACCCGGGAGGCGGAGTTTGCAGTGAGCTAAAATCGTGCCACTGCACTCCAGCCTAGGCAGCAGAGCGAGACTCTATCTTAAAAAAAAAAAAAAAAAAAATCCAATCAATTTATCTGTTAAGTGTTCTATTTGCCAGGTAATCTGGTTAGCCTTTGGAATGTCCATATAATCTTTGATTCAGTCGCAAATTCCATTAATTTCTTGGATCAAAAGAGGGAACTCTTGACAACAGTTTCTTCTCTGCTCACTCAGACCATTAGTTTCTATGAATCAAAAATATTGGTTTTATTTCAGAATCAGATCTCTGATGCAACTCTTTCAAATCACATAATAAGTACTAATCTTTCAAAATATATCAAAAAAGAATCTAGAACTAAACATTATAAACTGGTACAAACTCCAGCTCTGCCTGCTCAGTTACCACTGTTGCCTACTTCCTCTCTGCCACTTTTTTTGTAGGTAATGAAAAGAGAGAAGGATAAGCAAAGTTCATACCACATCTAGCGAGAAGAATAGTTACCGAACTCCATTCTGCAGAATGCACCACCCCAACACCCTAGACCCTCCTCTAGCACTCCCACAACTGCTCATAGACTACAAACTGCACTCCATTTCCAATCTTATAAAATCCTTTTGCTCTAGTATCAACAAATAATTATTCTGACTTCCTTTGTAGAGAACTGAGTTCTTACTTATATCTTGGTCACTTTTTTTTAATTACTGAAAATTCTTCAGGATTCCTACATGTGAGCTATTGGAATCAGAAGTTTTGGTCAGTAGATTTTTTAGACAAAAACAGAAGCCAGAAATCTTTCCCACCCCACTCCACCCTATAAAAAGACTGTTTGTGGATTGCAGGCTGTCTACTGTGGTCCCTTTGTGCTTGGTTCAGTGTGCCATGGAAACTAGAGACAGTACAGGTACTTTGTTTACACAGCCTTCATTTCTATTTACGAAATCTCTTTGTGGAGTTTGCAAAGCTTTTTTTTTTTTTCCACTGCTGCACCTGTCGATCCAGCTCTAACCATCAGCCAATGAACAGTAAGATGTCAAGCCAGTTTCTGATGGGGGAAGTGGGAGGTGTACCCATCAGACTGGTTCAACTGCCTGAAGATGACAAATTACCCCAGTTTAAATTTAAAAAAGAAAGAAAGAGAGAAAGGAAAAGAAAGAAAAGAGAAAGATGGCCAGGCACAGTGGCTCATGCCTGTAATCCCAGCACTTTGGGAGGCCAAGGCGGGCGGATCACCGGAGGTCGGGAGTTTGAGACCAGCCTGACCGACATGGAGAAACCCCGTCTCTACTAAAAATACAAAATTAGCCAGGCATGGTAGCGCATGCCTGTAATCCCAGCTACTCAGGAGGCTGAGACAGGAGAATTGCTTGAACTTGGGAGGTGGAGGTTGCAGTGAGCCAAGATCACACGACTGCACTCCAGCCTGGCAACAGAGCAAGACTCTGCCTCAAAAAAAAAAAAAAAAAAAAAAAAAATGTACCGCATCCAGGGGCCTGTGAGTCCATTCAGTTTAAGTGCTATAATTTAGGTTCCCTATTTAGTAGAAACCAAAAGGAGTATACTTAAATAAACCTTCACCGCTAGTTTCCGAAAGAATTCATTTCAAATAATAAGAGAAAGGGAAGTTGAATTCTATTTTATAGCCATTTCCTATATTCTTTACTTAATTCCTCTGAATCTCACTTTTTTCACCTATGAAACACAGCTAATAATACCTACCAAAGAGGATTGTTCTGAGGATCAATTAATGATGACCATTAAATTTGGCAATCCTTTTTTTTTTTTTTTTTTTGAGACAGTCTCGCTCTGTCACCCAGACTGGAGTGCAGTGGCGCGATCTTGGCTTACTGCAACCTCTGCCTCCCAGGTTCAAGCAATTCTCTGCCTCAGCCTCCTGAGTAGCTGGGATTACAGGCACCAGCCACCATGCCTGGTTAATTTTTGTATTTTTACTAGAGATGAGGTTTCACCATCTTAACCAGGCTGGTCTTGAACTCCTGACCTCGTGATCCACCTGGCTCGGCCTCCCAAAGTGCTGAGATTACAGGCATGAGCCACCGCGCCTGGCCTTATTTTTATTTCTTTTAAGACAGAGTTTCCCTCTCGTTTCCCAGGCTGGAGTGCAGTGGCACAATCTCAGCTCAGTGCAACCTCCGCCTCCCGGGTTCAAGTGATTCTCCTGCCTCAGCCTCCCGAGTAGCTGGGATTACAGGAGGCTGCTACCACACCTGGCTAATTCTTGTATTTTTAATAGAGACGAGGTTTTACCATGTTGGCCAGGCTGGTCTCGAACTCCTGACCTCAGGTGACCCACCCACCTCAACCTCCCAAAGTGCTGGGATTACAGGCGTGAGCCACCACGCCCGGCCCAGATTTAGCAATCCTTTAAAAAGGCACTTTTAATGTTCATAATATAATGAACAAATAATGCAGGAAGACAATTTTTCTTTAAGAATCACACAAACTTTATTACTTAGTTTTTTCTTAACCAATGGGGCATTGGCAATACATCCTTCATACTAAGAAAGACACGAACAATTCGGCTGGACACAGTGGCTCACGCCTGTAATCCCAGCACTTTGGAAGCCAAGGTGGGTGGATCACTTGAGGCCAGGGAGGTGGAGGTTGCAGTGAGCTGAGATTGCGCCATTGCACTCCAGCCTGGGCGACAAGAGTGAAACAATGTCTCAAAAAACAAAAACAAAAAACAGAAAGACATGAACAATTCTAATCTTCAAGTCACTTTTAATTGCTCCTTCCTCTTCACAGCCACAGAATGCTACTTATGCTTCTTATCCACCCTCACTTTATTCTTCTTTGAGTTTTAACTGCTTATTTACCAATCTCTTTCCTCCACAAGACTGAACATTCCAGGAGTCTTTTTTCCCTTTACAATATCTGGATGTTGTGTACTTTGCAGAAACATCCAGTGTTTCCATAAAAGTTTGTGTTGAAATGAAAGAAGATAAAGCCAAATATAAGACCTATTTTGGAACCTCACTATTTCCAATTGACAGCCATATCTTGATTGTAACCCCTTTTAATTCTCTGTCAATGAAAAGGGACCAGAGGAGGGAGTATACGTGCCATCAGAAAGGGTCGTTTTTTGGTTTTGTTTTGTTTTTTTTTGAAATGGAGTCTAGCTTTGGAGTGCAGTGGCGTGATCTTGGTTCACTGCAACCTCCACCTCCCGGGTTCAAACGATTCTCCTGTCTCAGTCTCCCAAGTAGCTGGGACTACAGGGATGAACCACCACACCTGGTTAATTTTTGTATTTTTAGTAGAGACGGGGTTTCACCACGTTGGCCAGGCTGGCCTTGAACTCTTGACCTTAACTGATCTGCGCGCCTAGGCCTCCCAAAGTGCTGGGATTACAGGTGTGAGCCACCACACCCAGCCGATTTTTTTTTTTTTTTTTTTGACAGAGTCTTGCTCTGTCACCCAGGTTGGAGTGCAGTGGCACTATCTTGGCTCATTGAAACCCTGGCCTCCTGCACTCAAGCAATTCTCCCACCTTGGCCTCCCAAGTAGCTGGGATTACAGATGCATGCACCAAGTCCAGGCAATTTTTTCATTTTTTGCAGAAATAGGGTTTTTGCCATGTTGCCCAGGCTGGTCTCGAACTCCTGGGTTCAAGCAATCCACCCACCTTGGCTTCCCAAAGTGTTGAGATTACAGGCAAGCCACCATGCCCAGCCTGGAAAGTGTTTTAAGAAAGAAGGAAAATTAAAGTGTTGAGTGCTGCAGACAGACGAAGGATGAGGTCTAATCAAAGCCCACTGGTTTTTCTGGTGATTACAAGTAACCTTCAAGAGTATTGTCCCAGTGAAATGATAAAGGAAAAGCCAGATTACCGAAGGCTTGAAAGTGAGTAGTGTTACCAGGTTCAAGAGGCCAAAGGAAAAAAAAAAGAAAGAAAGAAAGTGAGAAGGTGTTTACAAATGCCTGGAACAGAGTGTAGATCGTAATTCTGGGATATGCAGTTCCTTCAGGGTTGAGCATGACACATCAGCGCCCTTCACAGAGTTCTATGCCCTAGCCAAGCCAGGCATATTGTCAGAGGCATTTGAACCAGAGCGACTCCATCTTGAATAGGGGCTGGGTAAATGAGGCTGAGACCTACTGGGCTGCATTTCCAGGAGGTTAAGGCATTCTAAGTCACAGGCGATAGGAGGTTGACACAAGATACATGTCACACAGACCTTGCTGATAAAATAGGAAGCTGGCCAAAACCCACCAAAATCAAGATGGCGACGAAAGTGACCTTTGGTTATCCTTGCTGCTCATTACATGCTAATTATAATGCATTAGCATGCTAAAAGATACTCCCACCAGTACCACAGTTTTAAAATTCCATGGCAATGTCAGAAAGTTACCCTATATGGTCTAAAAAGGGGAAGAACCCTCCGTTCCAGGAATTGCCCATCTCTTTCTGGAAAACTCATGAATAACCCACCCCTTGTGTAGCATATAATCAAGAAATAACCATAAGTATTATCAGCTGAGCAGCCCAAACTGCTGCTCTGCCTAGGGACTAGCCATTCGTTTGTTTCTTCACTTTCTCAAACTTCAAACTTGCTTTCACTTTATAGACTCGCCCTGAATTCTTTCTTGCACGAAATCCAACAGTGCTGTCTTGGGGTCTATATGGGGACCCCTTTCTGGTAACAATATCACAGCTTCCTTCTTTTTTTTTTTTTTTTTTTTTGAGACGGAGTCTCACTCTGTCACCCAGGCTGGAGTGCAGTGGCGCGATCTCGGCTCACTGCAAGCTCCGCCTCCCGGGTTCACACCATTCTCCTGCCTCAGCCTCCCGAGTAGCTGGGACTACAGGCGCCCGCCACCACGCCCGGCTAATTTTTTGTATTTTTAGTAGAGACGGGGTTTCACCATGTTAGCCAGGATGGTCTCGATCTCCTGACCTCGTGATCTGCCGGTCTCGGCCTCCCAAAGTGCTGGGATTACAGGCATGAGCCACCACGCCCGACCCTAAAAACTATAACTTTCTTGTGGCTCTTAACACGTTCAGCCTGGTATAAGAGGTAGGTAAATATATGACTTCCCTTTTGAATCCATAAGGGATAAATAAACTTCGACAAATATTAAAACTACTTTTCAAGGTAAGATACTACCCATTCAAACAGGTAGTAGTTGTGTAGATCCAGGCAAGGAATTCAGATCAGAAAAATTAAATCAGAAGACTTTAGAGTTTCAATTTAATCCAACAAACATGTATTGAATGCTTTTTATGTGCAAAACATTGTGCCATCAAGGGCTTTAAGATCTAATGCAGGAGTCAGCAGACTTTTTTTCTTTTCTTTTCTTTTCTTTTTTCAAGACGGAGTCTCACTCTGTTGCCCAAGCTGGAATGCAGTGGCGCAATCATAGCTCCTTGTAACCTCAAACTCCTGGGCTCAAATGATCCTCTCACCTCAGCCTTCCAAACTGCTGAGAAACAGGCATGAACCACCACACCCACTGGAGCAAACATTTTTGATAAAAGGTAAGATATTAAAACTACTAAATTTTAGACTTGGCAGACCATATGATCTCTGTTGCAGCAACTCTACCATTTGTAGTGGGAAGGTATCCATAACATTATCTAAACAAATGTGGGTACCTGTATTCCAATAATACTTAATTTATGAACACTGAAGTTTGATTTCATATAATTTTCACATATCATGATACACTTATACTTTTGAATTTTTGTCTCCAATGATCTAAAACTGTGAAAAAACATTTTTAGCATGTGGACCATACAAAAAACAGGTGGCAGAGCAGGTTTGTTTCATGGGCCATAGTTTGCTGACCCCAATCCAAAAAATAGTTCACTTAGATGTATGCCAAAGTTCTATCCTTAACACCAAAATAACCTACAGCATTACTGCCATTTTGACAAAATTTGTGATCAACATATCTGATATAAGGTAGATTTTCATTGATTTATTCAACAAGTATTCACTGAGTGTCGACCTTATTGCAAGTACTGTGCCAGGCACTGATGATAGAGCTGTGAAGAAGTTAGAAGTCTGGGCACCATGGCTCACGCCTGTAATCCCAGCACTTTGGAAAGCCAAGGCGGGTGGATGGCTTGACCCCAAGAGTTTGAAACCAGCCTGGGCAACCCTGTGAAACCGCATCTCTACAAAATCAAACAAACAAAAAAATCAAAAACCAAAATAAGCCAAGTGTGGTGGTGTGCTCCTGTAGTCCCAGCTACTGGGAGGCTGAGCCCAGGAAGTTGAGGCTGCAATGAGCCATAATCATGACACTGCACTCCAGCCTGGGCGACACAGTGACACCCTGTCTCAAAAAAATAAAAAATAAAAATAAAGCCAGAAAAGAAAAATTATCATTTTGCAACTATCACTGTAAATTGATTCAAGAATCATCAAAAGATGCTAAAACCAATGGGTGAAAAATTGTTGGAAAATAGGAATATTCTTGTGTTTTCTAAATATTAATTTTAACTACAAAGGTATTTTCACAATGGAACAATGTGATAGACTTCATTTTAACCAAGCGATCAAACTCAGCATCACCAGTAATAGGACAAACTGACATTCCATTTCTCCTGATATGGTGCAATGAGAAGTACAGTACCACTTATGTTAATTACTCTTGCCAAAAATAAATTGTAAACGATTCTACAAGTGGCCTGGATTCTTAAAAAAGTTAATGTCAGAGAAAGAAAAATTAAGTAGATTAAAGTAAAGGAGACATTAAAAGACTTAATCAAATGCAATGGGTGATCACTGATTGGATTCTAGATTAGGAAAAAACAGCCATAAAAGACAATTGGGGAAAACTGAAAATGGATTATATATTAGATTATAGCACTATAGTAATATTAAATGTCTTACAGTGATAATAGTATTTTGGTTATACAGGAATGATTACTTGTTCTTAGGAGATTCAGGCTCAAGTATTTTTTTTCTTTTTTTTTTAAATTGAGACAGGGTCTCACTATGTTGCCCAGGCTGGTCTCAAACTCCTGAGCCTAAGCTATCCTCCTGTCTTGGCCTCCCAAAGTGCTGGGATTACAGGCGTGAGCCACCCTGCACAGCCCAGTCTTAAGTATTTAAGGGTGAAGTACGATAAATGCAAATTATTCAACTTTTAAACAGATATATAGAGAGAAGTAAAGCAAACATGACAAAATATCAAAAATTGGAGTCAAGGTGAAGGGTATAAGGGTGTTCACTGTATTCTTTTAACTTTTCTGTAGGTTTGAAATTTTTCAAAATAAAAACGTGGAAAATTTTTTTAATAAAGAGAGAGAAAAATCCATATCCTATGGAATTTATATTCTAGTGGGAAAGCCATAGAATATACCAATAACAAATAGGTAATATAATACCATTTACAGATTGTAAATCCAAATAGGATAATAAGATAGAGGGTAGTTGTGTGGATGAGAAAGTATTTTGGATAATGTGTTTGAAAAATTTTCTCTGTAGAGGTATTCAACTGAAGGCATCAGGATGAGCCAGCCATATGAAATGAAAGTAGAAAAAGTATTCCAGGATTCCAGGTTAAGGAAACAGCAATTACAAAGGCAAACATGTCATGAAATTAAGTTGGAGAGGTAGGCAGGAACCATATTACATGAAAAAATGGGCCATGGTTATGCTTTGGATTTTAAAGTACAATGAGATGGGGCCAGACATGGTGACTCACCTGTAATCCCAGCACTATGGAAGGCTGGGGCAGGAGGATTGCCTGAGGCCAAGAGTTAAAGACCAGTCTGGGCAACATAGGTAGACCACTGTCTCTACAAAAAGTGAAAAAAGTTAGCCTGGCATAATGGCATATGCCTATAGTCCAGCTACTCGAGAGGCTGAGGTGGGAGGATCACTTGAGTCTAGAAGGTTGAGGCTCCAGTGAGCTGTGATCACACCACTGTACTCCAGCCTGGGCCAAAAAAAAAAAAAAAAACCGATGAGATGGTTGCACAACTTTGTAAATTATGTACTTTTAAGAAGTGAATTTTGGCTGGGCATGGTGGTTCACGCCTGTAATCCCAGCACTTT